>NC_000006.12:23696363-23999393 GCF_000001405.40 Homo sapiens | reverse complement strand
CCCTCTCTGAATCATGCTAGGATAATAATAACCTGTCCCAAGTGTTCTGAACAGGGAGTACTTAGACTCAGTTGGGACAATCCATCATTTTCAAAAAGTGTATCATTTCCGATCGTTCCCCTGATGGCCCCACCTCCTCCACTAAGTTGACTTTCTCTTTTCTCTGGTGAAGAATGAAAAAACACTACAGTAAAGTGTCAGTGACAGATAAAGTGAAGGGCAATGATTTCTGACATTTGCTGCCAGGATCGCCAGACAAGTGACTTAGTCTAGGCCAATGCTGAATATTCTCTTCCTGCTAAGAAAGGAGTGATGGGTCCCAGTACATTTGACATGTATGGGCTTTGACACACATCTCTTCTCCCCAAGAGCCAGTGACATGAGCAGCCCTGGTTTTGGATGGTTGACTCTCAACGGATCTTGCATTTCACTCTCGCTATGCTTTCTACAAACTTTTATTTATTAATTTATTTATGTCTCTTGTCTGTCTCTCCATCTATTCTAAAATCTACCATTGGATTTATATAAATTCACCCAAAGAATTAAAGTATGGTGAACATGTAGGCGTGATCTGAGTGCTTTGTAAAATTGCCTTCTTGTTAAATGAAGTCAGACAGGAGCGTTCATTTCTTGTTTCATAGAACTGTAAATTCATCGCTGATGCCCTCTGTGGCCTGGCTTCCCTAACTCTTTAACGAAACAGATGATGCCTGTAAAATTTGTCAAGAGGAATGAAACTGACTTCGGTGAGCTGCTCCCTGTCACCTGTGGCCTAGGTTGGATTGGAGACAGGGTGTCCCTGGGTGAGTAAAACCAGCTCCTGGCTTTGCTCATGAGTACTTAATATAATTTTATTTTGTATTTTCAAAACCTGATTCTCTGCCATAAATAAAATATCAGCCATGTTAATTTCTTCAGGTTTATTTCAGTTGTGTATTAAATTGTAAATCTCTCTTTTCAGAAATACAACGAGGGGGGCAGATAGAGTGTCCAACACATGACTGGATGTGTTGTTAGCATATTGACAAGTGTCTGAGGGCCTAGAAACAAAGTGATATTTAGGAGCAAATAGAGCTAGCCAGTAAAGTGAGCAGTAGCTTGGTGGTTCTGATCAATCTGAAATGGACAATCTGATCAAATGGATAATCTGCTTAATGCAGATGCTAAATTGTTTTTTTCCCTTGGTGACAGCAGATCCATAGTCCTTCTCAATGGAATAGGGAGATACTTGCCCTGGTGATTTAGATAATTGCATCCACTATTCAGTTTCACCTTCCCTGGGACAGTACGTAAGATATTCACCCCCTTTGTAAAACATAGAGTCTAAGTATTAGAAATTATCATCTGTGTGACTAATCCAGGAATATTTCAAAAGAAAATCCATTGACTATTATTATTAAGGCTCCTGATACAAGGCATTTTTAATCCTTATTTATAGCAGAAATTAGCATTCCAAAGCTCATGTTTTGTTAATATGATAGCTTTATTGTTGTGTAATTCACATACTTTACAATTCAACATTTAAAATGTACAATTCAACGGCTTTTAGTAAATTTGCTGAATTAGGCAATAATTATCACAATCAATTGTAGAGCATTCTCAACATCCTAAAAAGAAACCCCCTACCCAGGTTATTCCCTGTTCTCCCCACATTGCTTCTACCCCTGAAGCCCCTGCTCCTGGCTCAGCCCCTGGCAACACTAATTTACTTTCCGTGTCTGTGGATTTGCCTAATCTGAATATTTCATATGTGGTTGATTCTTGAGCAATGTGGAGGTTATGGGTGTCAATCTCCTATGCAGTTGAAAATCTGTATATAACTTTTGACTCACCCAAAACTTAAGTACTAATAGCCTACTGTTGACCGGAAGCTCTACTGATAACATAAACATATTTGTATGTTACATTATTATATAATATGTTCTTACAATAAAGCAAGCTAGAAAAAAGAAAATGTTATTAAGATAAACAAGGGAAAATATCATTACTGTTCATTAGGTGGAAGTGAATCGTCAGAAAGGTCTTCATCCACATTGTCTTCACCTTGAGTAGGCTGAGGAGGAGGAGAAGACAAGGGGTTGGTCTTGCTGTCTCAGGGGTGGCAGAGGTGGAGGAGGGGGAAGGGGAAGCAGGAGGGACAGGTACATTTGTTGTAACTTTTATTAAAAATAACCTGTCTATGAGTTCAAACCTGTGTTGGTCAGCTGTAAATGGAATCATATAGTATGTGCTCTTTTGTTACTGACTTCTTTCACAAAGCATAATGTTTTCAAGGTTCACCTATGTTTAGCATGTATATATACCCTTTATTTAGCCATCACTAGATATTCTTGATTATTTACATTAAGTTTTTAGTTCCACACTGATATGGTTTGGCTGTGTCCCTACCCAAATCTCATCTTGAATTGTAACTCCCACAATTCCTACGTGTTGTGGGAGGAACCCAGTTGGAGGTAATTGAACCATGGGGGCAGATATTTCCTGGGCTGTTCTCGTGATAGTGAATAAGTCTCATGAGATCTGATGGTTTTAAAAATGGTAGTTTCCCTGCACAAGCTCTCTCTTTGCCTGTCACCATCCATGTAAGACGTGACTTGCTCCTCCTTTCCTTCTGCCATGTTGTGAGGCCTCCCCCGCCATGTGAAACTGTAAGTCCATTAAACCTCTTTTTCTTCCCAGTCTTGGGTATGTCTTTATCAGCAGCATGAACACAGACTAATACACACACAGTCTCACGTAAATAATCCTGACTATATTATTCTTCTCTAAGTTATTTTTTACTTTTTAAATTTTGAAAACATTACTTCTTTTGAGAGATTAAAAACAATATTTTAAAAAATATCAGAATTATACTGGAATTACCCTTAAATATTTACTTAATACAAAAAATATTAATTTCTAAATATTTTTTAGATTTATTCACCCATTGTCTTTTTAAAAACATTGCTATATATTCCTTTTATTTTATTTTAATTTTTAAAATTATTTTTTGTTTTGTTTCAGTAGTTTTTGGGGAACAGGTGGTTTTTGGTTATATGGATAACCATAAATAGTTTAAACCATATTAGTTTAATTAGGTCCCATCTGTTTATTTTTGCTTTTTTTTTGCATTTGCTTTTGGGTTTTTGGACACAAATTCTTTGCCTAAGCCAACATCTAGAAGAGTTTTTTTGATGTTGTCTTCTAGACTTTTTATAGTTTTAGGTCTTAGATTTAATTCTTTAGTCCATCTTGAGTTTATTTTTATATAAGGTGAGAGATGAGGATCCAGTTTCATTCTTCTCCATGTGGCTTGCCAATTATCCCAGGGTCAATTGTTGAATAGGGTGTCCTTTCCCCACTTCATACTTTTGTTTGCTTTGTTTGCTTAGTGGTGATTTCTGAGATTTTGGTGCACCTGTCACCCAAGTGGTGTACATGGTACTCAATGTGTAGTCCTTTATTCCTCACCCCCCTCCCACCCTTTCCCCCATGTCTCCAAAGTCCATTATATCATTCTTAGGCCTTTGCATCCTCATACCTTAGCTTCTACTTATAAGTTAGAGCGTATGATATTTGTTTTTCCATTTCTGATTTACTTCACTTAGAACGATTGTCTCCAGTTCCATCCAGGTTGCTGTAAATGCCATTATTTCATTCGTTTTTATGGCTGAGTAGTATTCCATGGTGTGTGTGTGTGTGTGTGTGTGTGTGTGTATACATGCAATATATATGTAATATATATATTTGCAATATATATTTTGCAAATATATATTGCAAATTGTGCTGCTATAAACATGCATGTGCAGTGTCATCTTTATATAATGACTTCTTTTCCTCTGGGTAGATACCCAGTACTGGGATTGCTGGATCAAATGGTAGTTATACTTTTAGTTCTTTAAGAAATATCCATATTGTTTTCTATAGTGGTTGTACTAGTTTACATTCCCACCAGCAGTGGAATAGTGTTCCCTTTTCACCACATCTTTGCCAACATCTGTTTTTTTTATTTTTTATTTTTTTATTTTTATTTTTATTTTTTGAGACAGAGTCTTACTCTGTTGCCCAGGCTGGAGTGCAGTGGCGCGATCTTGGCTCACTATTTTTGCATTTTTAAATCATGGCCATTCTTGCAGGAGTAGGATGATATCTCAATGTGGTTTTAATTTGCATTTTTCTGATAATTACTGATGTTAAGCATTTTTTTTCATATGATTCTTAGCCATTTGTATATCTTCTTTTGAGAATTGTCTATTCATGTCCTTTGCCCACTTTTTGATGGGATTGTTTTTTGCTTGCTGATTTGTTTGAGTTCCTTATGGATTCTGGATATTAGATCTTTGTCAGATGCATAATTCATGAGTATTTTTTGCCCACGCTGTGGGTCACCTATTTACTCTGCTGATTATTTCTTTTGCTCTGCAGAAACTTTTTAGTTTAATTAGGTCCCATCTATTTATTTTTGGTTTTGTCCCATTTGCTTTTGGGTTTTTGGACATGAATTCTTTGCCTAAGCCAACATCTAGAATAATTTTTTTTGATATTGTCTTCTAGACTTTTTATAGATTTAGGTCTTAGATTTAATTCTTTGGTCCATCTTGAGTTGATTTTTATATAAGGTGAGAGATGAGGATCCAGTTTCATTCTTCTCCATGTGGCTTGCCAGTTATCCCAGGGTCAATTGTTGAATAGGGTGTCCTTTCCCCACTTCATACTTTTCTTACTTTGTCGAAGATAGTTGGCTGTAACTATTTGGCTTTATTTCTGGGTTCTCTATTCTGTTCCATTGGTCTACATGCCTACTTTTATACCAGTACGATGCTGTTTTGGTAACTATAGCCTTGTGGTATAGTTTGAAGTCACGTAATGTGATGCCTCCAGATTTCTTCCTTTTGCTTACTCTTGCTTTGGCTATGTGGGCTCTTTTTTGGTTCCATGTGAATTTTAGGATTGTTTTTTCTAGTTTTGTGAAGAATGATGATGATATTTTGGTGGGAATTGCATTTGCATTGAATCTGTAGATTACTTTTGTCAGTATGGCCATTTTCACAATATTGATTCTGCCCATCCATGAGCATGAGATGTGTTTCTATTTGTTTGTATCATCTATGATTTCCCTCAGCAATGTTTTGTAGTTTTTCTTGTAGAGATCTCCACTTCCTTGGTTATGTATATTCCTAAGTATTTTATTTATTTATTTATTTATTTATTTATTTATTTATTTATTTATTTATTTCACAGTCGTTGTAAAAGGGATTGAATTCTTGATTTGACTCCCAGCTTGGTCAATGTTGATGTATAGCAGTGCTACTAATTTGCATACATGGATCTTGTATCCTGAAACCTTATGGAATTCATTTATCAGATCTAGGAGCTTTTTGGATGAGTCTTTAGAGTTTTCTAGGTATATGGTCATATCGTTGATGAACTGCAACAGTTTGACTTCCTCTTTACTAATCTGGATGCCCTTTAATTCTTTCTCTTGTCTGATTACTCTGGCTAGTATATTCTTTTTAAATCTGAAGTTCGAATTAGAAACATTTAACTTTTCAGGAGAGTGTTTATATGCTTTGGTTACTTCAAAAACTTCACTGATTTAGGTAAAACTTAGTAGTTTCTCAAATTTGGAGAGGTTATCCCAGCAGAACAGACTCCCTGAACAATTTATAGCCTACTCATCTAAAAGTTTGTGGAGGCTCTTTTTTTCTATAAGAAGTAAATAAAAAGAGGTATACCAAAATTATAGTTTGGAGATTAGAATAATTTCCTTTTCTAGTGGCATATTTTTCTTTTTGTGCCTTCTCTGATGTTCACTTCTGGTTAATACAATGACCATTGGTACACAGAAGCCATGATAATTATAACCATAGACTTCAGACTTCACAGAAAGACCAAAGCTGTTTGAAGGTACTGACTTCCTGGTCCACTTATCAAATTTTAGAAGACTATATGTTACATTCAACAGTGCAATTAAATGACTACAAAGAACAAATGACCAACACACTGAAGCTGAAATTTCGTGCAAACAAATCCAGTCTGTTTATCCTTATTTGCATCTGCTTTTATTTGAGTCCTTCCCAGGCATCTTTTTGAACAAACAGTGAATAAGTGGGATGAGAGGAGAATAAACACCCTCCAACCAGATCCATACCTGATTATAGCTAAGTCTAATATTAGACCTGTAAAGATCAGGCCAATTAAAATGAAAATCATAGAAATGGAATAGAAAATTCTGATTATGAAACCAGGTGAGCTCAAAAAGGCTTTCTTTAACATTATTACAGGATGTAGAACTGTAATTAAAATAAGGAGCCAATGTAATAGGGCCAGTACTTAATTATGTTAGCACTGGATAAGTAATTAATAGGAAAATATGCACACTGTGCATGTTATCTTGTATGTGATGATTTGTGGGACCATCTAATGAATGGTGAATCAAAGAGTTCATGGATCCACAGAAGGCTAAATTGTATTGCTTGGTATAAAATCTAACTGGGCAGTTTAAAATTTATGACTGCCAGCACAATATGCTTCTAGGAAATGAAAGTGGTGTGTATTGTTACACAAAGATTGTTTTATAAGATACCTGGTGTATCCTCCATATGTAGAGTGACTTTCTTTTCTATGTTTTCTTTTTTACTTCAATATAGAATAGAGAGAATAAATACATTATTGTAATTTTTTGAACTCTGCAATAAACGTTTAAGTTTAGTATAGATTAAGAAGTAAAAAGTGTGTCTCTATTTCCTTCAGTTCTGCTCTGATCTTAGTTATTTCTTGCCTTCTGCTAGCTTTTGAATGTGTTTGCTCTTGCTTCTCTAGTTCTTTTAATTGTGATGTTAGGGTGTCAATTTTAGATCTTTCCTGCTTTCTCTTGTGGGCATTTAGTGCTATAAATTTCCCTCTACACACTGCTTTGAATGTGTCCCAGAGATTCTGGTATGTTGTGTCTTTGTTCTCGTTGGTTTCAAAGAACATCTTTATTTCTGCCTTCATTTCGTTATGTACCCAGTAGTCATTCACGAGCAGGTTGTTCAGTTTCCATGTAGTTGAGTGGTTTTGAATGAGTTTCTTAATCCTGAGTTCTAGTTTGATTGCACTGTGGTCTGAGAGACAGTTTGTTATAACTTCTGTTCTTTTACATTTGCTGAGGAGTGCTTTACTTCCAACTATGTGGTCAATTTTGGAATAGGTGTGGTGTGGTGCTGAAAAGAATGTATATTCTGTTGATTTGGGGTGGAGAGTTCTGTAGATGTCTATTAGGTCCCCTTGGTGCAGAGCCGAGTTCAATTCTTGGATATCCTTGTTAACTTTCTGTCTCGTTGATCTGTCTAATGTTGACAGTGGGGTGTTAAAGTCTCCCATTATTATTGTGTGGGAGTCTAAGTCTCTTTGTAGGTCTCTAAGGACTTGCTTTATGAATCTGGCTAGTCATACGTAGAAAGCTGAAACTGGATCCCTTCCTTACACCTTATACAAAAATTAATTCAAGATGGATTAAAGACTTAAACGTTAGACCTAAAACCATAAAAACCCTAGAAGAAAACCTAGGCAATACCATTCAGGACATAGGCATGGGCAAGGACCTCATGTCTAAAACACAAAAAGCAATGGCAACAAAAGCCAAAATTGACAAATGGGATCTAATTAAACTAAAGAGCTTCTGCACAGCAAAAGAAACTACCATCAGAGTGAACAGGCAACCTACAGAATGGGAGAAAATTTTCACAATCTACTCATCTGACACAGGGCTAGTATCCAGAATCTACAACGAACTCAAACAAATTTACAAGAAAAAAACAAACAACCCCATCAAAAAGTGGGCAAAGGATATGAACAGACCCTTCTTGCAAGAAGACATTTATGCAGCCCAAAGACACATGAAAAAATGCTCATCATCACTGGCCATCAGAGAAATGCAAATCAAAACCACAATGAGATACCATCTCATACCAGTTAGAATGGCGATCAGTAAAAAGTCAGGAAACAACAGGTGCTGGAGAGGATGTGGAGAAATAGGAACACTTTTACACTGTTGGTAGGACTGTATACTAGTTCAACCATTGTGGAAGTCAATGTGGTGATTCCTCAGGGATCTAGAACAGAAATACCATTTGACCCAGCCATCCCATTACTGGGTATATACCCAAAGGACTATATATCATGCTGCTATAAAGACACATGCACACGTATGTTTATTGTGGCACTATTCACAATACAAAGACTTGGAACCAACCCAAATGTCCAACAATGATAGACTGGATTAAGAAAATGTGGCACATATACACCATGGAATACTATGCAGCCATAAAAAATGATGAGTTCATGTCATTTGTAGGGACATGGATGAAGCTGAAAACCATCATTCTCAGCAAACTATCACAAGGACAAAAAACCAAACACCGCATGTTCTCACTCATAGGTGGGAATTGAACATGAGAACACATGGACACAGGAAGGGGAACATCACGCACTGGGGCCTGTCGTGGGGTGGGTGGACGGGGGAGGGATAGCATTAGGAGAGATACCTAATGCTAAATGACGAGTTACTGGGTGCAGCACACCAACATGGCACATGTATACATATGTAACTAACCTGCACGTTGTGTACATGTACCCTAAAACTTAAAGTATATATAAAAAAAGTAAAAAGTGAATGAATAGCATTTTTGGTATGAAATCTTTAAAATGTCAATTTATTCATTTGAGAACCAAAGAACTTTTACCATAGAAAGAATGTTTTCCCCTATATTCTTATCATATCAAAGGCTTTTGATATTAGGAAATATAGTTTTTTTATTGTCTTCTTGGTTACTAGAAAGGCGATATAATTGGAATCTTGGATTAGATAGGAATGTTGATTGGGGGTTTGATTTTGATGCATGTTTTATTTTGTTATACATCAGTAACCATTGCAAAAATATTCTCCTGGCAGTAAGAGCATTAAATCTCAAGGAGCATGAGATGCAATTTGTGTCAACTGCCTCACTCTGGATGCTGTGCTAAGACAACATTGCCCTAAGTGCTTTGAGCAATCATCCTTAACTGAAAAGGCTATGCTAACCACACTGTAAAATGAGTTGGTTCAAAATGAGCAAGCTAGAATAAGAGATGATTTAGTTCCATGATCCACTTGGAACCTGGGGTATATTCAAAATCACCTATGGACTGTTGGATGTTGTTAGAAGCATGAAGCTCACTAGGTTAAACCTGCAGTCATATTTTCACAAATGAGCCTGCTGGGAGTGAGTGGCCATTAGTGGCTCAGTGATGCTACAAATGGCTTTTCAGCTGCGAGTCACTTCCTGTGCTATTTCCAAAATAGTGTAAAAAGGTATAAAGAGCAGGAAGCGAGGGGCTACTTTTATCTTCTTTAAAAGCTATTATATGAAAGACAGAGTTTGCTTTGAAGCATCTCTAGTCTGTGGGCCTCCTGAGAGGACAGGGGCTGCCTTTCTCCTCTCTTCATAACTGCAAGGACCGCCTTCTGGAATTCACTAGTGATTGAACTGTTATTTGTTTCCTGTACTTCTTTTTTTAAAAAAACTTATATTCTGAGTCTGTCATCTATTTTTGAGTGACCTTTCTTTATCTACATTGTATTAGGTACTAATGGGGTTGGGGAAAACTAAAAAAAAAAAAAAGAAGTCATGGTCACTGACCTCAGGAGGCTTATGATGTGTTTCTCTTAGTCAAGAAAAACTGAGATCAAATAGTTTCAAATGATACTGATTTTTTTGGAACCTAGTGTGTAGTTGTTTACCCAGAACTCTAGTCAGTGCGGAGGACTGATTGGGAATCCAGAGTGTGCAATGAAGGTGAAATAAAAGACAGAACCTATTTCCTCCCTTTCTGTCATCTGCTACCATAGGTTTTGGTTGATTCTATGACAATAATACTTTTTGTCATAATGCTTACACTGTAATAGGTGTGAACAGAGTAATCAGAAACACCTCTAGAGCTATGGCAGATTGATGTTTCTTGGAGTTACACAGGAAATATTAAAGTTTTTGTGTTCTGCCAAATTATGGTGCTGGTGATGGGAGAATTAATTTTCATGTTGGATGCCAGTAAAGAGGGGTATTCTTTTTTTGGATGATATATGCCTTTCCTTTAATTTGTGTATTCATAAATGTTTATTGTGCACCTAATATTACCTGATGGACTAGATGAGACAGTTCCTTTTCATGGAGCTTATGTTCTGAATATGCAGAACATGATTGATAAAAAAGAACATGGATATAAAATTAGAGAGAAACCACTTTCAGTTGAACAGCAGGTAGCCTACTTTGCATAGCATGTGGGAAAGAATAAATCTCTATATACATCAATCAATATTGTCTTGGTATAGAAGAGAAAAGTAGTCTCGACAAAAATTCTAGTCACATATTATAAAAGTTAAAACCTCAACCAACAAAGAGAACCTCCGTGTTTTACTCCTGTGAACAAACATTGTGGGTTCTTTCTGTATCTGCAATGTTTTCACTCCTCAAGATAACACTGTGGCAACTTTAGAGATGTATACCATTTATTGGATACAGACTGCAACCTCTTTCAAATATATGTCATCAGTAGCCTTTTCAAATAGCCTTTATAGAGCTTGATCACTATGACTACACAATCTCATTTCTCAGGCTGACCACAAAGCAATTTTTAGCGGGGAGGGCTTGAGTTATACTTATGTATAAAAGAAATCTTGCTATTTTGATACAGCAAGGGAGTGGGTCCCAGCCTCTGGCTCATAGCCATCTGCTCCTTCTCACCTGCAATGTGGTTCTTTTTTTTTTTTTTTTTTTTTTTGAGACTGAGTCTCGCTCTATTGCCTAGGCTGGAGTGCAGTGGCACCATCTCAGCTTGCCGCAACCTCTGCCTCCCAGGTTCAAGCAATTCTCCTGCCTCAGCCTCCTGAGTAGCTGGGATTACAGGCACCCACCACCATGCCCAGCTAATTTTTGTATTTTTAGTAGAGATGGAGTTTCACCATGTTGGCCAGGCTGGTCTTGAACTCCTGACCTCAAGTGATCCGCCTGCCTTGGCCTCTCAAAGTGCTGGGATTACAGGTGTGAGCCACCATGCCCGGCTGCAATGTGGTTCTTATACATAAAAAGCCTTATTTTGAAATCCCATGTCTGTGGTCAGTCTCTGTTCTCACAAAGGGAACTCTAAACTATTACACTAGCAAATAAGACAGACTGTCAAATATAAAGGGCCCAAATCAAGTGATGAAAACACAGTGTAAGACTGACATAGCACAGAAGAAGATGAGAAGGTCCTGCAAGAAGAGAATGGAAAATGGATTGCATCAGAGGCCATTCTTTTAAGTAAATGGGCTGTGAATATCTACCAAATCCAGCTGTAAAGCATATTCAGACTGTGCTCTACAACACTGCTTGAGGTATTTCTAAAGTAAAATGAATATAAAAGACCTGTCTTTCTCAATGGACACTTTTATTTTATTCATAAAATCTCCAGTAAAGGATCTCTTCAGATATTGTAGCTACTCTGATTAGAGATAACTGTACCTTGTCTAGTGTCTCTAATGGATCCACCAGCTGAGCCACATCAATTGCAGAACCATGTCATAAAATTTATCCTGAGTAAGCTGCAGAAATCATTATTACCACTGCATTGAAAGGGTGGTGACAACAATCATTTGCAATTCTTTATGAAAGCCTTGCTCCTTTTAATTTTATATTCTTCCCCAAACAGTATCTACACATGTATCAGTGATAAATTCCAAGCCTTGTTCAAATCAACCAGCACTGGTCTTCAACATGATAGAAAGAGTCGCAGAGGCTGGGCAAAAATGACTTATTCCAATTATTGTTTTGTTAGCTGATGCCAATTTCTATGAATTATTTTTATCATGGCATATAGAGTACTGCATACCAGGGTAAACTGGAAGGGATCTGATGTTTAATGGGGGTTTGATTAAGAAACGTCATTATACTTCCTTTATGTCATATTTTATTATGGAATAGAAACAAAATCACAGTTATTGAATTTGGATAAAATTTTCCAAATTGAATTTGCATATAATTTCCACTCAAAATTTTTAGTGATACATTTGAGCTTGCTTATGTGAACATTACCATTTCATATCAGGTTCTGTATTTGAAATGGCTAAGGAAACTACTGACTGAGACTCTTTAATAATAATCTTTTTCAATTCTTAAGAGTTATCATGTATAAGAATTTTTTTTGCACAAGTAGGTGATATAAAATTTAAAGCTCCTCTTACAGTTATTCAAAAATGTATAATGTTCAACATATGTTGAGTCCAAAATTCTTTCTATTTCATTAATAAATATAATGATGAAATTTCTTGTGATAATGTGAATGGATTGTGAATTTTATCACAGTATTTTTATATCAAGTTTTTCAAAATAAAGATCAAACTTAATTTGCAGAAAATCCATGTGATTGTTAAAGCAGTCACTTTAGAGCTGGCTTGGATGTCACTAAAAGGTCATATCCATTGCAAAAGGATAGATATGATTAGTGTATGTGAACACAGAGATTTGGGGCTCCTTCCTGGACCTGCAGGGAGAGCCTGCCTTTATTTCCCACTTACCTAAGCCATGTTTTCTGATCCTCAAGAACCTGGAAAATTAACTCCTTCATGGCTCCGTGTCCACAGTGGCAGCAGTGTGATCTCAGCTGGCTGCCGAACTGCATGTTCACATGGTCATCTTGGCCAGTGCTATCGTTTAAATGATGGAGTCCCTTCCAAAAATTATGTTAAAGCTTAATCCCTGATGCAACAGTATTAAGAGACATGGCCTTTAGGTGGTGATTAAATCGTTAGGGCTCTGCCCTCATTAGTGGAATTAGCACCCTTCAAAAAGTGTGAGATTGAAGGGAGCACCTTCTCTGTCCCTTAAGCCATGTGAGGACACAGCATCCCTTCTCTCTGGAAGATGCAGCAATAGGCCCCATCTTCGAAGCAGAGTGCAGCCCTCCACTAATATCATCTTGCCAGAGCCTTGATCTTGGGCTTCCCAGCCTCCAGAATCATGAGAGACAAATTTTTGTTTGTTATAAATTTCCCAGTTTCATACATTTTTATCACAGTAGTACAAATAGACTAAGTCAGCCAGAATCAGAACATTGTGGAGCGAGCAGCACGTGTTAGATGCCCTCATTGTGAGTGCTGGCTATGGGCACCAGCTTAGCACCGTCAGATGCCCCTATCTTCAGGATGTCTTCTGAGCAGCCCCAGGCAAGACCTCCCACTGCTGCAGAAGTTTGGTCTAGGGGCTCCCACAACTCATGCCCTGGTTGTTCACCTTGAGAGCTGATGGAATCAATAGCCCCCATTTAGCTGTAATCTTTCCAAGTCCACGATTAGGATGACACTTGAAATATTCTGCTCTGAGCAGGGATTTTCAAGTGTTTAAAATCGTGACCTACAGACCTCCTCAGGACCTACCTCCCCACTGATGTATACATCCGAAATAAAAGTTTTAGACCCTATGCTTACTCATATTTTCAATTCTATTCTCTTCTATTTCAAATTGTAAAATGCTAGTTGTGATACACTAAATCAATTTTACAATCTGAAATCTAAAGGGTCATAATCTGGAATTTGAAAAATACACACTAAACAAATAATGAAAAGTGGATTTTATCTCATGTAATAACTTGGATGGATCTCAGACATCTCAGAGTAGGAGGGATATTTTCCAAAATAGTGGCTATAATAGAGCCATGGCTGGTTTTTATTGCTTTTCTTTCAGATTTTCAGTATTTTTCCACACCTTCTAACATAAATATTTGGTTATTTAACAATCAGTGTACTTTATACAGTATGTCAGTTAATTTTCTTGTCTCCATTCAGTGAGTTTAAACTTTATTTCTGATTTTTTTCTCTGTTGAAAATTCTTCAAGTGTTATCTAATTCCATGAAAATTATTTTTTTCCATTAAATGCTTTAATATTTATTCACTTGTTTTTATTCCAATGATATAAAATTGAATTTACAGGGAAAATTACCTTTGAGCTACAAAACAGGACTTATCTCAACAAAGGCCAAATGTGAGCTGATGGTTGTTATGGTCATTCTACTGGATGGCATCCCAGCGCAAGGCAGTGTGGAAGAAATTAAATCCGCGTGCCATTAAAAGTAGAAATCTTTTGTCTTTAGGAAGTAAAACAAGTGATCCATTTGGAGCTAGTTTATTTATTTATTTATTTATTTATTTATTTATTTATTTATATTATTTTATTATTATTTTTAATTGTAAGGTTCTAGTTCTTTTTTTTGTATGTTCATTTATTTATTTATTTTTTATTATTATACTTTAAGTTTTAGGGTACCTGTGCACAATGTGCAGGTTAGTTACATATGTATACATATGCCATGCCGGTGGAGCTAGTTATTTTAAATCTACAGGGGCTTTGCCAAATAAGCTGCCCTCACAGAATACTTGCCGAGTAGGACATCATAGTTAATGAAGCATTTTGGTTATTCCTTAATATTGAAAAAATGGATACTCCATTGCCAGCTTGAAAATTTTTCTCTTTTTCTTTCTGATTTGGAGAAGCTAAATTTGAATTTCTCACAGTCAACATTCATAATCAATTATTACATAAAATAATTATGACCTAAAACATGTATTACTAATGGTGGCAATTTTGAAAAACAAGTACAAATGAAAAGAAAAATGACCAGGAGGGACATTTACCAAAATAATGACTGCAGTAGAGTCATGGTGATTTTTATTCTTTTTCTTTGGTCTATCCAGTATTTTCCACACCTTCTACCATAAACATTTAGTTATTTAATAATCCAAAGAAATAAATTCAGCTTCTGACAAGTTTTGAACAATAATTTGCTTATTCTTTTGACAATATATAATAAAATCACCACAACTATAGCATGAGATAATACCTTACAAATATCTTTGAAAAAGCTCAAAAGATTTTATTTCTTTGCCTTTAAGTTGCAAGCAATATATAGTTTGAAACTAAGAGAAAGGTGCACTGTTATTTCAATATGTGTAAGCATTTCCAACTGTCCATGGACTCTTCACAGTAATTGGGCCAATAATCTCAAACATAACTTGAAATCAGGATTTTATTAATTTCTACTCTTCACACATTCTTTAGTTGAACAGTAAATACAAAGTTTGGATTGAAAGAAGTTAAGACTAATTTTTAAACACGCTTATCAAACTGTATGCATACAAGAGGGTTTATACTCTAAGTAATTATTTGTATTGCTGTCATTCACATCTATAAATTCTATCTTAGACACTCCCTGAGAGCCAGTTTATGATGTCTGCTTGGGCTCAAATGGTTTTTGCCAACATTTTATCTACTACTTTGTTTATCAGACTTGGCTTTCAAAGATATCTGACAAGTCCCTGCCCCCACAAAAATCAGATTGGTTTTCAAAGCATGAAGATTAGCCCCAGCATCCTTGCCTGCCCTCAAGTTTGCCATGTGTACTTCATGCTCCGAAATGCCCTTCCCATTCTCTCTCTCTGTAAAGCTCTCACTTGTCCTTTGACCTCTAGAACCTCCTGGTGAGAACTGGTTGTGTTCTGTGCTGCTGTAACAATTGCTTAACACCTCAGTGACAGCACATATCTCTCTACTCCCTTTTCACGTGTCTTTATTCTTCATGTGGTTTATAGGTTTCTTGATATTTTGGTGCTTTGACTCTTCAGTCTCTATCAAAATTCCTGGTTTGTGATAACTTTTGACAATTACTTTTCAGCAAATTAAAAATATTGTAAAGATAATAAAACAGGAGGATTAGTATGCATGCATTGAGTACTAGAGGTATCTTTGAATAAGTGTAGTATAACATTCGTTTACTACTTCCAAGGGACACGATATTTATAAGAATATTTGCATTTTAAATTTTAGTTTAAAAAAACAATTGTTTTGCCTGCAAATCCAGCACTTTGGGAGGCTGAGGTGGCTGCATCACCTGAGGTCAGGAGTTCCAGACCAGCCTGGCCAACATGGTGAAACCCCATCTCTACTAAAAATACAAAAAATTAGCCAGGTGTGGTGGTGGGCACCTGTAATCCCAGCTACTCAGGAGGCTGAGGCAGGAGAATCACTTGAACCCAGGAAGCAGAGGTTGCAGTGAGCCGAGATTGCACCACTGCACTCCAGCCTGGGTGACAGAGCTAGACTCAGTCTCAAAAAAAAAAAAATTTTAAAAATAAAAATTGTTTCATGTTTAAACTTATTCTTCCCCAGTGTCTGTTCAGGGCAAGGCAGTATCTTGAGTGCCAAAAGACAATGTCTAGTTCCTATTCCCAAGGAATTTATAATGTAAAGAGTTAATAATTGTTTGCTTGAAAATATTATTGTATATGTTAAGTGCCAAAGAATGTAAATAATAAATGCTGTAATTTGATCGGAGGATGGAAAGCCCACTAAGGGATAGGTAAGTCAGGGAAACATTCTCCAAAACAGGAGGATGGAATTTGACTCTGAAAGCCTGGAAAATGCATGAGATTTGACGTGTGTGTGCGCACGTGTGCATAAGGCATAAGGGACCAACAGCCAATGTGTCTTTCTGGATTTTGAGAAAGCTAAACTCCTTTATGGCACAATTCTGGCATGAATAAGAGAGAAGAGGCCAGGTCTTTTGCTGACACGTACATGTTACATCAGTTCTTTCTAAACCATTATAACCCATAGTGGTGACTAAAGGGAGATTCTTAATGTGTAGTGAGAGAAATGTAGAAAATGTAACATCTTTCCTGGAGAAAACCTGAAGTTCAGAAGATGTTTTGTGAAAAGAAAGGAAGGCAGATACCTGAGACGTGCAGAGTGGAAACGCTGTGCAGAGGACTTTTATTTGAGATGGACTCGTCGCTAAGAAAAGAGACACATCTGGAGAAAAGTGAATGCTTTGGGCAGTAGACTCTTTTTTACCTCCTGCTTTCCTAAAATAGTGACTTTCAAAGAAGATTTCATGCTTCAAACACATAGCTGGTTCAAAGGAAGTTGGGCTTCAGAAAAGCTGAGGGGGTGTGGATGACATAGAAAGGGTCCTGGCTAGACGATAGCTCTTCATTCTGAAAGTGAGAGTGGTGAATGTCTCAAGACACAAGAGAGGTGATGGATGAGATGCAGAAAATGACTTGCTCTTTGCCAAGTGACTGTGAGTGAGCTGCAAAGATGTTCAGTGCAGGAAGCTGAGAGATTGTGCCGCCCACCGGTACCATTTGTAGACTTCAAATACATTTGATGCTACTTTGGTTTGTCAATCTTTGTCAATCATTTTGGAAATTATTCCAACCTGAGTATTTATTTATTTATTTATTTATTTATTTATTTATTTTCTTGAGACGGAGTTTCACTCTTGTTGCTCAGGCTGAAGTGCAAGGGCACAATCTCGGCTCACAGCAACCTCTGCCTCTCTGGTTCAAGCGAGTCTCCTGCCTCAGCCTCCAGAGTAGCTGGAATTACAGGCATGCACCACCATGCACCGCTAATTTTGTATTTTTAGTAGAGACAGGGTTTCCCCATGTTGATCAGGCTGGTCTCGAACTCCCAAACTCAGGTGATCCACCTGCCTCGGCCTCCCAAAGTGCTGGGATTATAGGCGTGAGCCACCGCGCCTGGCCCAACCTGAGTATTTATAAAGAGGTCCTGTTGTATAAAGAGTCAGAATGCCCTGAGTTCTCATTCACTTCTAACACATGATCTTGGTAGGTCACCTATTTTTTCGGCACCTCAGTTTCTTCATTTTGAAAATTAGAGATTATGCTTACCCTCTAGGGTCATTGTGACAATTAGAGCAAATGTATGCAAAATGCCCACTGTTGTGGTTGGCACATAGAGACACACAATAATAGGGAGTAATGACATTGAAGATTGCACTAATACTGTAAAGTGGGTAATGTAAGGCTTTCCATGATGGCCTATTTTTCTAGGGCTGTGGCCTTTGAGTTAGGGAAATGTGCTCTCCCCACAAAGAATCTCAGGTCCTATGTGTCAGAGGTCCCTCAGCTTTGGGGTCTCACCCTGTGCTTTCTCTTCTGGTGTGGCCATGGCCCCTGAATGGCAGCAGCAGGGTGGGCATTCAGGAGTTGCTCAGTAGCACTCTTGTGCCTCCTTCTACTCCAAAGCACTGGTTCAGTGGTTACAGGGCATGTGCCAACATCCAAGAGCAAGTGTAGATGTCTCTTCTCACTCATCCAGTTTCTCCATGGCCTCTCCCAGATTAAGGAAGAAGTTAAGTAGTCATGTGTACATGCCCTCCCAGTGGCTGCCTCCCACACAAGGAGCTCAGAACTGAAGGAGACAATTCTGCTCCACCTTTCCCTGAAGTTGAGTCATCCTCTTACATGTATTCATAAAAATGTAGAGGCTCTGCAGGCTTTGCAAATTACTTCCCTTCACTTCAAAAGCAATTTGAATCCCAGATGAAATGAAGGTTCCTATCCGAAGTAAAACAGGCTCACCATTTAAGTAAAACAAGCTCTACTGCAGGCAGAAGAAGACATATTCCTTCCCTATGCTTTTTGTTCATGCTCTTTGTAAATCTTGAAGGAATCTGGGAAGGTGGGGTATAAAAATATTTCTTTAAAATACTGAAATCAAAATAAACATTGAATAGACTATTAGGTAAAACATATGTATGCATCAGAGTTCTGAGATTTACTAACATTTTCAGATTAATGAAATTATAATATTTTATATTTACCAGAAATTTATCTATAAAATACGTGCCAGCAGATGTTTGGGAATAGGGCTAAGCAATTGGGGAGTGTGGGTATAATACCACCAGTTACTTTTGATTCTAAACTAGCAGGATTAGAGGTCTCTTTAAAAAACATCTATTCTGTTTATTACTTTAAAATTACATTTATATCCTCAATAAGGAAAACATTCACATGGTTTAATATTCAAGACATATGAAAGTTACACAGGGAAAACGTTTCCTTCATAACTCTTTTCCCCAGGCTCCAAGCACCCTTCACAGAGATAACTCATCTGGTCAGTTTCTTGTCTATCTTTGTAGACATGTTTTATGTGAATACAAGCAAGTATGTGTGTGTTTACGTGTGTGATTTTGCTGGATGTTGCCAAAGAACTCTCTATAGAGATTGTACCAATTTACAATACCACCAGCAAAGTATAGAAGTCTTATTTCTCTACATCGTTGCCAAATTTACTCCTTGGCTGATCAGCATGCAATTCGGCCTTTGTCCTTCCCTCACAGGCACACCACTCAACCCCCACAAAACAAATTTTACCCTGTTCTCCTTCCGGAAGTCCTATATCTTTTCTGTCATTTTCACTCATTTAGGATATTTTGCTTAGTAGAAACATAGTGTTTTTTGAGATCAGAACTATTTAAAAATTCTAAACAGTTCTGTACATTCATGAACTTGGGTTATGCAGGCAGGTTGCCTGGATTTGAATCTTGCTAGTTGTGTGAGTTTAGGAGAGTTATTTAATCTCTTAGAACCTCAGTTTCCTCATGTGAAATGGAGTATATAATTTGTCTTGCTGACATGATGGTTGAAACAAATGTAATAATGTATATAAAATGTCTGGAGCTTGAAAGATGCATAAAAGATAGTAAAGATAGTTGCTATTGTTGTTGGTGCTATTATTAATATAAACTGTGTCATGTGCCATTCAGTGGAGTATGTGCTGTACATAAATATACTTGAACTAAATGTTAGTGGCAACAAATAAATCTCACATTTTAAAGGAGAACTCTGATCCATGCATATAAAAAAATCCTATGACAAAGAATCAGGTAATTTAGAAGATAAACACTGATGTTGGGGTCACTTTGTGTTTGTTGACTGTGAAAAAGATCACGAGAAAAACGTGTTGATCAAGCAAAAGTAAGTTTATTAGACTTGTTGCAGTAAGGGAAGACACTAAGATAGTGACTTTACAATGTCTCAGTAGGAGCAAGTCAGGGGAGGCTATTTCTAGGGATTTGGGGGGCCTGGGCTGGGTACTTTTAAGTGGATTTTGTAAGGTTGGTAACTTACTGGTGGAGCTGGACAGAATTTCTGACAAATGGCTTTGGACTGGTGGGCATAGGCAAGGCTAGGTGTCTTGAAGCAAGCATTGTGTGTCAACTGTTAGCTTCAGAAGTTAAAATCAGTTTAATTCGTTTACACTTACCAACCAGGAGCAAGTATTTCCTGGAGCAAAGAGCTGTTGTTTTTGCCTAGTCCCATTTTTGTTTAAAAATTTAAAAATTGGAAATTGTTTAGGAAATTAGGAAACTGGAAATTATGTTTGGTCTTGGAATTGTTTCACGCAGGAACAGGAAACCTGGTTTTGTCTCAGAATTGTTTAGCACTGGAAAGTATGCTGGTTTCAGTTATCAGTTCCGATTTTGCTACAGAAAAGACAGACCATGTTGGGGCAGATACTCAATGTGCCACATACCTGCTTCTTGCTCAATGCCCGCAAACCTCATTGGAAGCTCCGTCTTGGGAGGAAGATGGACACTTAGGGCAGGGAGACCAAATGCAGAGTATTCAGGGCCCCAGAGTAAGTGAGAACAGTAGATGAGGCTGTGTAACTTGAGTGGCGATCCAGAAGTAGTGCCAAGCATAAAACTGGAGATTCTCAAGAGGATAAAAGTGAAGAAATGAGGAGCCAATTGACAGCCTGAAGTGTCAGAAACAAGATGGATTCAGATGAGGGGAACAGACTGGGAAGAACTGTTCAGACCCAAAGACTGAATGAGGAGTACGCACTGGACCAACCTTCTTTATGCTGCCATTCTGGAGGTTGGTTTGGTGGCTGGGGGGCTGTTCAGCCTGGATACAACCTCTTTAAGTCTTATGTCACTCATCTGAACAATGGGTACAAAGGACTTGACCTGCCTAACTAGTAGTGATTGAAGAGATTATATGAGATAATATATGGCACACATTTTATATAGTATAATGCTCTCTTAAGATGTGGATACTAACATTTAAATTTTACTACATCACATTAAAAAGGAGAGGTTTCAGAATTGGGGACTTTGTTTTGTATGCATCAGGCAACATTATACAGGCATCTTCTTTTCCTAATTATATATAAGACTGACCCAGATTGTAGGATGGAGTATAAACATGGAGAAAGATAAAAATTAGGCAGTGCACAATTGCGAGAACATGCAGGCAGGTAGACACACTATTTCCTGAAATGCACATACTGAATTGGATTAAATACATTTCATTACATTGTGATTCAAACCATTTATTGAAAATCTGTGCATGTTATTGCACTGTGCTCATTCACATCCATCATCTCATTAAATTCTCACAACTGCCTATGGGGTAGGCATGGTTGTCATTTTTCTGTAACAGTATCTTGAAGTGTTTCCTTGGACAACGATATTTCAATTGTTAAGATTCACTGCCAGAAACTGTATGTGATGTTTTATTCTGTCTTAAAACATTTTTCTCATGTTATATAGTCACAGGCTTAATGTCATGCCCTGGACTTGGTTCACAGAGCAGCAAATGGCAGAGCTGAACTGAGATCAACTGTGGAGCATTTGACAATCTACTTTAAAATAATGATCTCAGACTCTAAAGGGAAATGGTCTCAGATATAAACAATTTTGCTTGGTGAAGGCCAAGGACAAGATAATGTTTATTCAGTTACTTTTGGTCCTCCTGAGTCTAAAGATAGATGATCAAGAGAAAGAAAAGAGACATTCAGACAGGTCAGCATTCCCTAGATCCTGGCAAGAGACTGTATGTGTGGTTTCAAAATTTTTTTTTTTCATATCTCTAGCAGTACTTAAATAAATACAAGTCTATTTAGTTAGAGTGCTCTAGTTAATTGCCCTAAGAAAATTCAATAAAAAAGGAGACCCATATTGACAGAGATACATACAGGAATTTGGTTATATTAATGGATTTTAAATGTGGCCAGTTTTAGGGATGGTTTAATACTGTAGCCTTTTTGTGGTCTAAAGAAAGAATAATGTTGCACCCCTCGTACCCCACTCCAAAGCGTGTATGTGTGGAACTGAAAGAGAAAAAAGCTTTTATGATTCTTCTCTTTCATTAATAGGGCATTAGCCACACTATGTTTTTGGAAAGCGGCACTTTGGATATGCAAATGGATGAGAATTTTAACTCTGTTTTTTTTGAGAGAGTCGTGTAATTTCACTACTATTAAGGGCTAGTGCTTTGAACTTTGGTTGTTCTCTCTATATTAATTATGAACCTATCTGTAAGTTATCACATTGATTCCTATGTGTGTTTTCTGTTTTATGTTCTAAAGTTCTAGGAAATGCCACTCCAGTAGTGTTTCTCAAAGCACATTCCATGACCCCAAATAGATGCTGCATGGAAAATAAAGTGGGTCTGTGATTAAGTAACATTGAAACATTGGGTTAAACAAAGATTAACAGGTATCTTTATTGCAAAATTTCTCAAAACGTTATGTTTATTTGCATTTTAAATCTCTAAGAGTAGGGAATTGTGAGCAGTCTTTTCTATATATTTTGATTGAAACAGCCTGCCCTCCACTTCCCTTGCAGAATTTCTTGAGGAATCATTGTCTGCAAGTCACTTCTTTAGAAAATGTTGCTTTAGTCCAGGGGTGGTGGTTCATGCCTGCAATCCCAGCACTTTGGGGGGCTGGGGTGGGCGAATCACCTGAGGTCAGGAGTTCGAGTCAGGAGTTCGAGACCAGCCTTGCCAACATGGTGAAACCTTGTCTCTACTAAAAATAGAAAACTATTTTTCTTTTTAGCTACTTAGGAGGCTGAGGCAGGGGAATCACTGGAACCTGGGAGACAGAGATTGCAGTGAGCTGAGATCATGCCACTGCACTCCAACCTGGGCGACACAGCGACTCTGTCTCCAAAAAAAAAAAAAAAAGAAAATATTGCTTTAAAACAAAAGTCAGGTGTGATGGATCCTGCCTATAATCTCAGCACTTTGGGGCCAAGGTGGAAGGATCTCTTGAAGCCAGGAGTTTGAGCCCAACCCAGGTAACATAGTTAGACCTTGTCTCTATTAAAAAAAAAAAAATTAGCGAGGCGTGTGGTGTGCACCTGTAGTCCCAGTTACTTGGGAGGCTGAGGTGGGAGGATCACTCAGACCCAGGAGTTCTACGCTGCAAGGCTGCAGTGAGCTGTGATGGCACTGCTGCACTCCAGCCTGGGTAACAGAGTGAGACCCTGTCTCAAAAGAAGAAAAAAAATAGAAACAACAACAACAAAAAAACAAAAGTCAACTCAATAATTTCAATTTTGGGTGCTCTGTTTAATTTGTAAAACAGTTGCTTGTTTTCTGAGCTTTTGAAAAGTAATTATCGATGACCTTTATTCACTTTGTATTATAGGCTTAGAATTTAGATATTGCTATTCCAAAAGGTATTGCTTTCTATGTCCTGGAATTATCACAGCTTCCTCCAGTTGGAGGTGGTCCCTTGGTTATTTCTTCATGACTAATGGTATTGGAAAATAAAAGAAAGTATCACATTTTTTCTACCCAGTGATTTTTTCCCCCTACAATTAAGAATGTTTATTGAAATGTTTGCTTATCAAAGCTTATATTTATACAATATTGTGCAAGCAGATAATACATAGATTGTGATATAACAAAGACCGACAACCAAAAAAGATAAATATTGTTCATTAAAACATAACAAACTCTACTTAAACTCATCAAATTTTGATTCCTAGCCTTGGAGGGTTGTATCAGTTGTTTTCGCTGTACCTTTCAAAATCAATGCATGTTTGATGATTCAATGATTGATTAGATGGAATAATGACTTAATGAAAAGTCTAGCCTACATTTGTCTTTCCTGACTGAAAAGAGTCCAATTAGATAAGACAGTATGCAAATCATGAGAGTACTAGAAACACATAACATAAACTTATGAACAAATTTGAAAGCTTGGATACATGGTCACTTAAAAAATAAATATATACATTATTACCTGAACTAACTCAAGAAGAAATTTTTAAATCTCTGAATGAAGCAATTAAAAGTGAAGAAATTAATTTCCTAGTCAAGAATCTCCCCCATAAAAAAAAGAGTCCTGGTTCAGAATGTTTTATAAGTGAATTTTGCTGAAATTTTACTAAGTAGATATTTCCTGTTTTAGAAAAGGGAAAAATATGAAGAGAGATATAGCTTATTTTATTAGCTTAGTACAAACTTAGTGACATAATTTATTATAATACATGAAAATAAGATAGTCTAATTTTATGTATGAATGTACATGTAAAAAATCATAAATAGCAAAATGTAGACATTTAAAATAAATGAATAAATAAGAAGTAAAATGGGACTTATCCTAGGAATAGAAGGCTGGCTGACATTCACAAAAATTTATAAATCTAATCCACCACATTTACAGAATAAAGAAAAGCATAATCAATTCCTACAGTTGTAGAATAAGCAACAATCAATACAATTCGGCATGTATTTATGATAAAATCTTTTGCAAATTAGGACTAGAAGGAGATGTTCAGGAAACTATGGTGTGGTATTTAATGGAAGAAACTTCAGAAGCATTCCTATTAAATCTAGCAGCATGATAAGTATTTCTGCCCTAATATTGTGCCAGAGCCAGTCTGCTAATAAATCTACATAAATATATTTGTCTGAGAATAAATAGAGCAGCTAGAGAGCACTTAGCTAGACCTAAGCCTGCATGGGACCATAGCCCATTTCAAACACCGAGTTCAATCTATTTGATTTTCCATAACAAAAAATAAAATAACACAAAAATTAGAATAAAATATAGTAAAATATCATAACCACAGGATAGGGAAGGATCTCTTAAACCAGACACCTTCAGAACTTATAAAGAAAGAAAAAATTGTATAAAATATATGTGTTCTAAATATACATTAAATACTGTAATATACATTAAAATTCCAAATGTTCAAAAATATATTATTTCATGTAAACTACATTAATAGGTAATATTTAATTTATAATATTTACAAATAAATTTAATGTCATTTATGAAATTCAATTTATGTAAATGGATACATTTATACAATTTTAAAAAGTCCTAGATATGCATTAGAGTCTTAAACATTCAAAATGTTAGAATAAAATATATTTGGTATATGTATGGCCACAGGGTGGAAAGGATTTCTTAAGTCAGACAGAGCAAGAAGTTATAAAGAAAGACAAACTTTGATGTTTTATAAAGTTTAAAACCTTCTGCTGAAAAAAAAGACATTAAGTTAAAAGATGAACTATGGAAGACATTTGCAATATACAACGCAGATCAATAATCACTAGACACAAAAATATTACTATATGTTGCAAATCTTAAAGAGCTCAATAGAAAAATGAATCCTGTGTTAGTTTGCTAAGGATAATGGCTTCCAGCTCCATCCATGTTTCTGCAAAGGACATGATCTCATTCCTTTTTATGGCTGCATAGTATTCCATGATGTATAAGTACTGCATTTTCTTTACCCAGCCTATCATTGATGGGCATTCGGGTTGATAAAATGTCTTTGCTATTGTGAATAGTGCTGCAATGAACATAGATGTGCATGTATCTTTATAATAGAATGATTTATATTCCTTTGGGTATGTACACAGTAATGGGATTGTTGGGTCAAATGATATTTCTGTTTGTAGATCTTTAAGGAATTGCCATACCATCTTCCAAAATGGTTGAACTGATTTACATTCCCACCAACAATGTAAAAGCATTTCCTTTTTCTCTGCATCCTTACCAGCATCTGTTGTTTCTTGACTTTTTAATAATCGCCATTCTGACTTGTGTGAGATGGTATCTCACTGTGGTTTTGGTTTGCATTTCTCTAATGATCAGTGATGTTCAGCTTTTTCTCAGATGTTTGTTGGCCACATGAATGTCTTCTTTTGAGAAGTGTCTGTTCATATCCTTTGACCACTTTTTAATGTTTTTTTTTTTTTCCTGTTAATTTGCTTAAGTTCCTTGTAGACTCTGGATATTAGACCTTTGTCAGATGGATAGATTGCAAAAATTCTCTCCCATTCTGGAGGTTGTCTATTCACTCTGATGATAGTTTATTTTGCTGTGCAGAAGCTCTTTAGTTTAATTCGATCCCATTTGTAAATTTTCTTTTTGTTGCAATTACTTTAGCTGTTAATTATTCAAGACCAAAAGGCATAAAAAGAGACATATGTCCACCCAAGTGATAAGGCAATTTGGGAAACTACATTTCCTAGCATGCCCTGCCCCTTGAAAGTTAAAAATCTTGACTGGCACAGAGCACCCTGGGGCACCTGTGGCTAGCACCATTTAGAAGTAAATGGTGTAGGGCTGTGTTCTGATGTGAAGGCTTCCTGTTTCCATGGGACACTTAACCAGACACAGGACACAACACCAGAGGTGAAATTTCAGTGGATATTAAGCCTGGGGTAGAGCTTCTCTCCCCCCACAATTCTAGCTTCCAAAGATGTGGAGTTGGTGGAGCTGTCCATTGCTCTGCTGCCCTGTTTCTCCTGGGCACTGCCTCTGCCTCCCCACATCACGAGCGTCCCCACTGCTGCTAGTCTTTAGGGGGATTCTGGACTTCACCCAACTTGTACAGCTCCCTGGTGGCCTGGGCATTTTCCACAGAGGAATATCCGCTCTTCCTAACCTGGATATCCCAGTTTAGCAGCTTTTTGGAGAGATGCTTCAGAGACATGGTGGCATTCTCTGGGTGGTCATGTCGGGGGATATGGGATCATTCCAGTTGAGGAGGTGGGGATATGGGTGGTGTCATGGGTGAGGGACTTGGGGTGAAAGTACTAAAGGGCTTTGAGGTCGTCGTGGATGGCATGCCCCACCACTATCTTCCCTGTGAGTATCTTCAAGATCTGGCCCCGAGCAATCTTGAAGGGTGTGGCATTCACCATGTGCTGCTTCTGGATACCACTCCATCTGGTCCAGTAGTCCACAGTGTGGCAGGGGGGAAGGATGTACTCATCATAAAGCACATCTCCGTTGTAGTTGACAATGCTACATTGAGCCAAGAAACTAACATGCCCCTTGGGTCCTGTGCCCACCATCTCAGAGTCAATTGCCACCATCATCTTCCTTGGCAACTTCTGGGATGCTCTGGAGCATTTATTCTCAGAATGAGCTTGGGTGGAGTTCTGTGGTGCATTCTTCTGAGGATGATTCTTCTTAGAGGATTTCTTCCGGGAGCCCTTCTTCTGGGAGTGGGTTGGGTGGCTATTAATCTTTGGAAGGGCACTCCAGATCTCCCCCAACAAATCTAGTTTAGCAGCAACAGAATCGGCCTTCTTCAAATAGGCAGGAATCAGTCAAAACACTGCAGCTTTCTTGTCCAGGGACTGTCCTGACCCATTGCTGGAGGCAGTGATCTTCTTCTTTTTTAGGAAGGGAGGGGTCTTCCAAGTGCCATCCACCCTAGGAGTTTCCCCCTTTTCTGGAGGTTCAGAGTGCAACTTAGGTGACTTGCAAGGGGGCTGTTTCTTTTTACTCAGAAAGTCCCTCCATTCCAGGAGCCTCCACTTCTTGACAAAATTTCAGTGCTAGGCATCTCCTTCTAATGTTTTTTTGGGAGGAGAGTCCACCAAATCCAGATTGAGCAGTAAAGTAGACCTAAGAACAGTGGGAGGTGGAAGAGGAGTTGGGAAAGGATGGATGAAAGGAGGATGTGGGACTCATTCCCTGCTGAATCCTACTGTTCAACATGTGAAGGTCTGTAGTACACCCTCCCAAAAGGGCCCAGCTAAGACTGGAAGTGTCCGGAGCCGGATGCAGAAATCGATGCAGTGCTGACAGATATTTTATTCTTTTTGTAGCAGCTGTGAATGGGAGTTCATTCATGATTTGGCTTTCTGCTTGCCTGTTGTTGGTGCATACGAATGCTAGTGATTTCTGCACATTGATTTTGTATCCTGAGACTTTGCTGAAGTTGCTTATCAGCTTAAGAAGCTTTTGGGCTGAGACGGGAGGGTTTTCTAGATTTAGGATCATGTCATCTGCAAACAAAGATAATTTCACTTCCTCTCTTCCTATTTGAATACCCTTTACTTATTTGTCTTGACTGATTGCCCTGGCCAGAACTTCCAATACTATGTTAAATAGGAGTGGTGAGAGAGGGCATCCTTATCTTATGCTGGTTTTCAACAGGGGTCCTTTCAGATTTTCCCCATTCAGTATGATATTGGCTGTGGGTTTGTCATACATGACTCTTATTTTGAGGTATGTTCCTTCAATACCTAGTTTATTGAGAGTTTTTAACATGAGGGGATGTTGAATTTTATCGAAGGCCTTTTCTGCATCTTAAAATACATTAATAACTGAAGAAATTAAGTACCTTTCAAATATTTTTTAAGATTTGGAAACATGCAAAAAACAAGGTCAGAAGGAGCCAAGTCAGAACTGTAAGGTTAATGCCTAGCGATTTCCCATCAAAACTCTTGCAAAATTGTCCTCATTTGATGAGGAATTGGCAGAAGCATTGTTGTGGTGGAGGAGGACTCTCTGGTGAAGCTCTCCCAGGATTTTTTTCTGCTAAAGTTTTGGCTAACTTCTCAAAAACACTCTCATAATAAGATTTTATTGTTCTTTGGCCCTCCAGAAAATCAACAAGCAAAATTCCCTGATATCCCAAAAACCTGTTGCCATGACATTTGCTCTTGACTGGGCCAATTCCATCTCTTGGTAGCCATTGCTTGCTTAGATTGTGCTTTGTCTTCAGGCGTGTAGTGGTAAAGCCATATTTCATCTTCTGTTATAATTCTTCAAAAAAATAATACTTCAGGATCTTGATCCCACTTGTTTAAAATTTCTGTCTAAATCTGTGCTCTTGTCTGCAGCTGAAATGGGTGCAATGTTTCTGGCAACTTTAATTTTTGTTCAACTTTAATTTTTCAATTAAAATTGTGCACACTGAACCAGCTGAAATGTCCATGATGTTGACTATTGTTTCTGCTGTTAAATGTTGGCCTTCTTCAATTAGGGCACAAGGAAGATACATTTTTCCTTGCAAATTGACGTGGATGGTCTGCCGCTATGAGCTTCAACATTGTCGTGTCTCTTAAAATGAGCTATTTATTTGTAAACTGCTGATTTCTTTGGGGCATTATTCCCAGAAACATTTTCTAAAGCATCAATATTTCACCATTCTTTTCTTTTTTCTTTTTTTTAGACAGAGTCTGGCTCTATTGCCCAGGCTGGAGTGCAGTGGCGTGATCTTGGCCCACTGCAACCTCCGCCTCCCGGGTTCAAGAGATTCTCCTGCCTCAGCCTCCCAAACAGCTGGGACTACAGGCAAGTGCCACCACACCCAGCTAATGATGTCACCATTCTTCTACCCATGCTTTATCATAAGTTTGACCTGTGTTCTTACTTCAATTTTAGCAGAATTCATGTTGCTCTGCTAGGGGCTCTTTTCAAACCGGTATCTTATCCTTCCTAGTGCCGCAAATTAAATGCTGTTTAGACATATTATAACAAGTTAATATGAGTTTATTTTGGTGCAAAAAATTTGAAACCTATGCATAGATTTTTCATAGTACGCATTTTTCGTGAACTTTTTGAACACCCCTTGTACACCATGTTCTGACAATTCCAGTTGTGGATATATGTCTTGGAGAATTCTAGGGTATGTAATTGTGCAAATGATAGTATTATTTGTAAGAGAGAGAGAAAAAAGCTCAAATGCTCACGTGGAGAAAAATTGATAAACCAGTTATTTATTCAGGATATAATACATCAGTTAAATTGAATGGACTATATTGAATATATATGGATAGATTTCAAAACATTTAAGTTAAAGTAAAAACAAAAAGCAAATTGTAGAAAGTTGCATAGACTTTAATAACATTTCTGTAAACTGAAAAACCTCTATAATTCTGTATATATGCATTTATTTATTATCTTTAAATATACATTGATTACAAATACCTTAAAATATTTATTGCATACTCAGCTAATATAGGACAGCGATTAATGCTGGAGATAGAAAGGTATTAGGTTGGGGAGGGGTTCAGAGAAGTGTGAAATTTTATCTGTAGATTTTAGATCTTTCACAAAAATGAAAATCTGAATCAAACATGATAGAATGTTGATATTAATTCTGGGTAGTGGGTATATAGTTATTATATTAGCTTTGATAATATTCCAGGAAAAAGTTTCAAAAATTTACAAAGAAGAGGCATTCATGTATCAACACAATTACACAGCTGGTTGGCCCTTTTTTTTAAAAAATTGCCCTTTCCACTATTCTTCAGTACATGTTGGCATATAGGTCTTTTAAAATGAGGCTTGCAGTCATTACTAATTTAGAATCAATGATTAGATTTATATATTCAACACTCCTCTAGTCACTTCCAACAAGAATGGTTCCAGTTATCTTCCAAATGCCATCGATTTCTCAAGTCTGCATGTATCTCTGCATGCTTTTTCTTATAATCGGTATTATTAGAACATAGTTTTAGAAATGTATTTCAGAAGGGAATTAGATTTTGAGGCAGAAATACAAAAGTTTTTAAATAGAAGTACATATCAAAGAAACTGTAAAAACCTTGCTTTGAGTGACTCAAAACAAAGTTGGAAAATATTGCTTGGATGTTGTGAAAAGAAAAAGGATTTATATTGATTGTTCAGTATGGTTGCTCAAATTTCCTGTGAAGGCCAAAGAATGACATATCCCAACACTCAGAAATTTAACATGTATGAGGGGGCTTGAGAGTGTATGGCTTTGAAGTGAAATGGATCAGGGTTGGTTTTTTTTTTTTCTGGGCTGTAATTTATAAAATTCCACAGTATGAATAATTCTGCCTTTCTCACTCCAAAGAATGCACCTGGATGGCAAGCAGAGTTTCAGAAGAAAAGGGGTTATTCCTGCATCAAAAACTAGAACTCCTCTATTCTTGAATAAATAAATGATGTTACTTCTTTTTGTCAGTTTCATTCAGTGAGTTTCTGAAGCTTGGTTTCTATTTCTGTCTCATTTATGTCAACCAGTTTTTGTAGATTATCTGGTATGTGCAAAGCACTGTGCATTGATTTGGAGGTGAAACTATTTTCTGCATTTCAGAAATAAAAGTGGTTAGTAATTGTTAAAAAAAAGAATAGTTTTGGGGATATTGGTAAAGGAGAGACAGTGGTAAACCAAGGGACTTCAAAGCCTTGGATCTTTTATAGCAAATATACTTTTTAATCTAACTAATATTAATAAAACGATCCCTCACACAAAAGATGGTAGCAAAAAAGTAACATTTCCTTTCTTAATATCTGTTTTATAGGAATCTTCTCCAAATTTCCTTGTGTTGGCTAGCCATAGAATTATATGGGAAGAAAGTCTACAGAGTCCTATCAAATTTCTAATTGTAATTCTGGGAATTGTAATATAATTTACTATTTCATTCTCTTGAAATGCTTTATAAGTGAACCTGTCCACCTTGCTACAAGGAACACAGGGAATAATGGTGCACTGAGGAATGTTGCCCAGGAAAGCACTGTAGATTTGACCTTACCGTTTTTTTTTAAGTCAACACTTAGCCTTTTCTGATATTTTGTAACAGTAAAGCCCTAAGTTTTGTATTAGGAAAGGACCTTCAGGTCTGTACCACCTGGGGTTCCATCTTTTCACTCCCTATTCTGATGAGAGACTGCAGCTCGACTTACTGTGCTAGGCTAAACAAAAGGTATTTCTCCTATCACCAACTATAGAAAACTGAGCCACATAAAAAAAATCCACCTGACTGAAAGCAACAATAAGGGTTTGAGATTTCTACTGTAATAAGCCAACAGCTATTTACATTCTTCCACATCCAAATCTAGGCCAGCAGTCCATTTGTATCTGGAATCCTTTTACCAAGAGTTGAAAAGCCTCCTGAAGGGAGAGGGCGCACACCCCAGGCTTCATTCTTGATTTGGAGCCTTTGTGGACTTCATTCAAACCGATAGTGCATTTTGGAAATATATCTTTATGGTTTAATTTTCCTGAGGTTTTATTGATAAAGATAAATTATTTTAAGAGCTATATTAGTGCAGCCGATTTTCTTTCCAAGAAGTACTTCAAAAACTATGATGCAGGAGAAAAGGGGAGAAATGTCTGCAGAGTCTCTGTTAGCTTTATAGTAGAAAATGTCTTCTGACCATTGTAGACCCAGAGACACCCATCTTGAGGCCATTTGGAGCCTTGAGAAGCACTGTATTTGTAAGTCATAGAACAAGAAGAGCATCTGGAGTGGGTTGAATAGGTTCCTCCCAAAATTCATGTGCACATGGAAGTTCAGAATGTGACGTTACTTGGACATAGGGCTTTTGCAGATGTCATCAGTTAAGGATCTTGAGTTGAACCCATCCTGGATTTAGGGTGATCTTGTAAAACCTCTGGTGTCCTTGGAAGAAGAAGGGAGGACACAGAGACACAGAAGAAGGTGAAGGAAAGATTGAGATAGGGATTGGAGTGGTGTGTCTACAAGCAAAGGAATGTCAAAGATTGCTGGCAACCACCAGAAGGTGGGAGAGAGGCCTAGGACAACTTTTCCTTCAGAGCCCTCAGAAGGAATTGACCTTGCTAATGCCTTGGTTTTAGATTTCTGGTCTTCTGAACTTAAAAGTAATTAATTTTTATTGTTCAAAGCTACCACGTTTATAATATTTTGTTATAGCATCCATAGAAAGCAAATGCAGCATCCCACACCCGCACCTGCTCTTATAAGGAAACTCTTACTCCTCTATTCCCATAGTGCTATAATATTTAAGTCTTCTGGGATATGTTAGCCTATAGTAACCAAAACAGCATGGTACTGGTATGAAAGTAGACACACAGACCAATGGAACAGAAAAGTGAACCCAGAAGTAAAGCCAAATACTGACAACCAAATAATCTTCCACAAAGCAGACAAAAACATATCCTGGGGAAAAGACTCCCTATTTAATAAATGGTACTGGGGAAATTGGACAGCCACATGCAGAAGAGTGAAACTGGATCCCTATCTCTCACCACATAGAAAAATTAACTCGAGATAGGTTAAAGACTTAAATCTAAGACGGGAAACAGTAACAATTCTAGAAGAAAACCCTAAGAAAAACCTCTTCTGGACATTGGACTATGCAAAGAATTTATGACTAAGACCCCCCAAAACAAATGCAACAAAAACAAAAATAAATAAATGGAATCTAATTAAACTAAAAAGTTTCTGGACAGCAAAAGAAACTATCAACAGAGTAAACAGACAGCCTACAGAATGGGAGGAAATATTTGCAAACTATGCATCTGACAAAGGACTAATATCCAAAATCTACAAGAAGCTCAAACGAATCAGCATGAAAACAACAAATAATCCCATTTAAAAGTGGGAAATGACATGAACATACATTTCTCAAAGGAAGATATACAAATGGCCAACAAATATGAAAAAATGCTCAGTATCACTAATCATCAGGGAAATGCAGATTAAAACCACACAATGAGATGTCACCAATGAGATGTCACCTTACCCCAGCCAGATGGCCATTATCAAAAAGTCAGAAAACAATAGACATTGGTACAGATGTGTTGAAAAGGGAATGCTACACACTGCTGGTGGGAATTTAAATTAGCACAACCTCTATGGAAAATGGTGTGGAGATTTCTCAAAGAACTAAAAGTAGATCTACTAGCCAATCCAGCAATTCCACTACTGGGCATCTACCCAAGGGAAAAAATCATTATATAAAAAATACACCTGCACACGTGTTTATTGCAGTACCATTCACAATTGCAAAGATATGGAATCAACCTAAGGGCCCATTAACCAATGAGTGGATAAAGAAAATGTGGTATATATACACATGGAATACTACTGAGACTCAAAAATGAATGAAATAATGTATTTTGCAGCAAGTTGGATGGAACTGGAGGCCATTATGCTAAGCGAAGTAACTCAGCAACAGAAAACCAAACACCACACGTTCTCACTTATAAGTAGGAGCTAAGCTATGGGTATGCAGAGGCATACAGAGTAGGATAGCGAACATTGGAGACTCAGAAGTAGGGAAGGTGGGAGAGAGGTGAAGGATAAAAAGAGTACCTATTGTGTGCAGTGTACACTATCTGGGTTATGGGTAGACTAAAATCCCAGAGTTCAGTGATACAATTCATTCTTTGTAACAAACAAACAAACAAACAAACCAAAAACAAACAACAACAAAAAAACAGTTGCATCCCTAAAGCTATTGAAATAAAAAGTAAGTAACTGCAGATGTGGTGAAAACAGGAAGAAAACCAGAATTAAAAGTGGAGCCTGAAGATGTGATTAAATTGCTGAAATCTCATGATAAAACTTTAACGGATAAGGAGTTGCTTCTTATGAATGAGCAAAGAAAGTGGTTTGTTGAGCTGGAATCTCCTCCTGGTGAAGATGCTGTGAACGTTGTTGAAATGACAACATAGTATTTAGAATATTGCGTAACCTTAGTTGATAAAGCAGTGGCAGGGTTCCAGAGGATTGTCTGAAGTTTGAAAGAAACTCTAGTGTGGGTAAAGTGCTATGAAACAGCATCGCATGCTACAGAGGAACATCGCAAGGAAAAGTCAATCTATGCAGTAAACTTCATTGTTGTCTTAAGAAATTGCCACAGCCATCCCAACCTTTACCAACCACCACTCTGATCAGTCAGCAGCCATCAACATGGAGGCAAGACTCTGTACTGGCAAAAAGTGTGAGTTGCTAAAGGCTCAGATGATTGTTAGCATTTTTTTTCTTTCTTTTTTTTTTTTTTTTGAGACAGAGTCCCTCTCTGTCGCCCAGGCTGGAGTGCAGTGGCGAGATCTCGGCTCACTGCAAGCTCCACCTCCCCGGTTCACGCCATTCTCCTGTCTCAGCCTCCCGAGTAAGCTGGGACTACAGGTGCCCGCCAAAAAGCCCGGCTAATTTTGTTTTGTATTTTTAGTAGAGATGGGGTTTCACCGTGTTAGCCAGATGGTCTCGATCTCCTGACCTCGTGATCCGCCTGCCTCGGCCTCCCAAAATGCTGGGATTACAGGGGTGAGCCACTGTGCCCGGCAGATTGTTAGCATTTTTAATCAATAAAGTATTTTTAATTAAAAAATTAACGATTTTTTTTGGTGTGGTATCACCATTGTCAATTAGCCATTCAATCAACAAACAACTAATGAGTATCTTCTGTGTGCCAGGTGCTGCTCCACCTGTTGAAGCTACAATAGTGGGTAAAGGTAAAGTTTCTGTTCACAATGAATTTTTCTAGAAGAGGAGTGTGGGAGGAAGAATAGTGGTTCCCTCAGAGACATCCATTCATTAATCCCCAGAACCTGTGAATACGTTAGTTTACAAGGCAAGGAGGGCAGTGTGATTGCAGGTGAAATTAAAGTTGCTAATTGGCTTACCTTAAATTAGGTAAATTAGCCTGGATTATCCAGGTGGGCCCAATTGTAGCCACAGAAAAAATCTTAAAAGTAGAATAGGGAGGCAGAAGAACAGAATTAGTTAGACAATGCTATGACTACAGAAAAAGGTACAGAAAGATGTGTGATGCCATTTTTGAGGACGGAGGGAAGGGGTCATGAGCCAGGGAATGTGGATGGCCTCTAGAAGCTGGAAAAGGTAAGGACACAGATTCTCCCCCTTCTCAGAAGGAATGGTTTTCTGATGACTTGGTTTTAGCCTATCGAATCCATTTTGTATTTTTGACCTCCAAAACTGTAAGATAAAACAATTGTGTTGTTTAAGCTGCTAAACTTGCAGTAATTTGTTATAGTAGCAACAGAAAACAGTTATAGGGAAGGAAGAAAATAAACATATAAACAGAGGAATAGGTAATAAACAAGATAGGATTACTTTAGCTTTAATAAGATCTTTGATAAGAAGATAAAATAAACAACAGTATGTTAGAATTTCTTCTCAGGTATTCCTTCATTCCTTGCTTCCCTCCTCTAGGGGAAGTGCAATTCCTGTGTGTTTCCATTGCATCCTGTAATCCTCTGTCATTGTGCTCACTGTGCTGTTTGTTTCGGTCTCTCAGTAGCCTGTGAGTTCCTGAAGACAGACAATTTTTTACATCTGGATCTTCCTGGCATTGCTCTGCTCATCTTTAGCACCTGATTGTTGAATGAATGAGTCATAAGACAGTTTCTCAATGAATTCGAGTGTATGATCAAGGAAGGAGTATGCCAAGCACTTTCTGGGCAATGTTTATTTCCTTTTTCTGTGTCTTTGTTGGGAAAGAGGACTTAGGATGATGAATAAATAGGTGAAGGAGGTGTGGCATAGCATTCCAGCATTTAAAGGAAAGGACCAGTATCTCCATCTAGTTATTTGGGCTCCAGCACAGTTATTTGCATGCATTTTGCTCCCGAACTTATACACTAATATACTACACTAGTATTCACTCTTGTTTCCCAGGTGCCTAGTAGAGTACCATATGTTTGTTTGAATGATGTTGAGTTCAACTCCTTTATTATGCAGATAAGGAAACAGGCTTCCTGAGGTTAGATGACTTGCACAAAATTGCACAGGAAATCAATGGCAGGGCCAGTATCAGAACTCAGATATCTTGAATCCAGACTACCTTTTTTTTAATTGAGATGGAGTCTCACTCTGTCACCCAGGCTGGAGTGCAGTGGTGCGATCTTGGCTCACTGCAACCTCCGCCTCCCTGGTTCAAGCGATTCTCCTGCCTCAGCCTCCTGAGAAGCTGGGATTACAGGTGCGCGTCACCACGCCCAGCTAATTTTTGTATTTTTAGTAGAGACAGGGTTTCATGATGTTGGTCAGGCTGGCAGACTATAATTTTTATTTCTTGGATACTAAATAATAACTTAGAAATAAACCCTGAAACCTGTCAGAATCATTATTTATAGTTGTCCCCTGAGTGTTCCTGAGAGGTTAACAAGGTTTAATAATTTGAGCATCATCAAAGTGTGTCCCAGACTGCTCAGCTGTTTGTATATCATAAAGCACTGACCTCATGCACTTACCTGGGAAGGCCGGTTATGAACTGATGCTTGTCTCAGCATCAGTGACCTCTGTGATAATTTTTCTTAAGTTTTAAAAATAGCCTCTCCCACAGTGAATTCCTAACTAGCTTCTTAATTTACTGAAATTAAATGAAAGTCCTAACAACTGTGAGGAAGGTAAGAGCAGGTTGTCAAATGCTCCCACTGCACCTGGCTCAGTGTCAAGGATTGACAAAGTAATGGAGCAGGTGTAACTAATAATTGATGCTATTCTCACTGCAGCAACTTCTGTTTTCTCCAGCAGATATGGAAGCTTTGATTTCTGTTCCTGAATGGACATGGATGTACTTTCTTAATTTCCAGTTCACTAAGAAATCTACATAGAAGTAGACAAGTGGGATATTAAAGATGACCCAACCCAATCCTTTCATACAGATGAAGAAAGTGAGGCCCAAAGAATTTAAGCAACTTTTCTACGGGAAAGTAATTAGTAAAATAGTGATATGGTTAGGCTTTCCATCCCCACCCAAGTCTCACCTTGAATTGTAAACCTCAAGTCCCTATTATCCCCATGCCAAGGGAGAGACCAGGTGGAGGCAGTTGAATCATGGGGGCAGTTCCCTCATGCTGTTCTCGTGATAGTGAGTGAGTTCTCACGAGATCTGATGGTTTCATAAGGGGATTTTCCCCCTGTGCTCAGCACTGCTTTTTCCTGCTGCTTTGTGAGGAAAGTGTCTTGCTTCCTCTTCACCTTCTGCCATGATTGTAAGTTTCCTGAAGGCCTCCGCAGCCATGCTGAACTGTGAGTCAATTAAACGTCTTTCCTTTATAAACTACCCAGTTTCGGGCAGTTCTTTATAGCAGTATGAAAACAGACTAATACAAAGAGAAAGCTGTGTTTAGAACTTATAGCAGAGAAACCACTGGACTTAGAGTGGTTTCTCTGCTCTATTTCTTTGTCTTATGAATATCATTCTTTCTCCTTTCACGCTTTACCTCATTGCTCATCCCATCCAATAGAAGAGCTAAGAACTGCATTGAAATTGGGTTGTTTGATTTAGAAAGAAATTATCCATTTAAGTGAACTATAGGAGCTGTCAAGGTGTCTCCAAAAACCTCATGTTTGAAGGCTGGGATGGGAAAAAAAGCCATTTGAATTCAGCACATTCAATAAATAGATTCTACTAATGTTCTTTGGGAGGGCATCGTTTATTTACCCTGCCTCTGTGGCTGTTGTGAGGGTATCTGTGGACAATGAAGGGTGGGGTAATTTGCATTTTAATTTAGAATTTACTGAGTTTATTGATCTCTTGTTCTTATTGTGCTCTCCTTGTACTTTTCTGTTAATCAAAAGCACATCTAATCTGTTTTATCTGAAAAATTAGAATGATAATAGGCTTTACTTCACAGGCTTACTAGAGATTAATGAATTAATGTATCAAAATGCTTAGGATGGTGCCTAGTAGATGGTTAGCTCTATATAGTTAACTGTTATTTGCATCCTCATCTTCATCTTCATAGTCATTTTTATCATAATTGTGATCCTACAATATCTAGCTCAAATCTCTTTTACTGTGGCTAGTTTTCCTGAGCACCCTGGTGGGAAGTAATATTTCTCCTCCTCAACTACCATGCTATGTATCATTTATGCTTATTTGTGATAGTGTTATTTTTATCAGGTGTGTATTATTTCATTCAAATGTTAATTGATCTACTATGAGCTAAACATTATGCCAAGTTAATGAGCAAATCCACATGGTCCCTGCTCTCACAGAATTTACAGTTTACTGGCCTGATTTGCTTTTGGACAGTGTGTGCTAATATTGATCTTACCTGCAAGGAATGACCTGTCCGAAACAGATTACTTGGGTACAGTGTAGGGTGGGTCAGAAAATAGTAGCTTTTTGTTTGTGTTCCATTAGTTGGGTGGCTTTTTAAATATAGTCACATAACCTGAGAACAACTGTAGGTTTTGCCTGATGATTATTGGAACACCTCACTTTTCTGCAGTGAACGGAAAGTGTAAACTTTGATATTCCTTCACCAGAGTACTCTAGAAGCAGGCATCCGGTGTCTTGCATAGTTCATCTCCTTTTCCTGCCCCAAGAATTCCCAAGCTTGCGACTGCATCCTTGGTCTGACTTTCTGCAGCTGTGTGTGTAGCCCAGCAATATCCTAAACATTTTGCTGGCCGTTCCTTGATCTAGACAAGTGAACAAACTTTTGACTTGGGCTGACACTTTGTATAGGTTGGCACAGTTGCTTTTGCACCAACCTAATATTTATTTTTGCTCATAGCAGCCTTTGATATTATTTTATGGGGACACTAAGAGTTTGTTTCAAAGGGCATTCGCTTCTCAATACAATTTTCTGTGAAATCTGTTGCAAAGACCAAGTGTATAGATTTAATAAACTTTCCTTTTTCTCTTGGGAAGTTTCCTTTAAGGTATGGCTCAATATATCACTTCTGATGCTCTTTGTACTTTACCATTCTTTCTTTCTTTAAGCAGAACTACTTGTTCTTGTGTTACTACTTACTAGGTTGTACCAAAATCTCACTCTTTCCGTTGGTTTAGAATTAAATTCTTTCCTCGACTGTGGAGATCTATAAGGTCTATTGCCTACTTTGCCTTCTCATCCCTCTTTCATAGTTCTCTCACCATTGCTTGCTAAGTTCCAGCTCTTTTATCCTCCTCTGACGCTTTTCACCAGAAGCGGCTCTTCCCAGCCTTTTGCACTGGCTCTTCCTGTGCCTGGTGCACATTTTTTGTTGGCACCATCTCATTCCTGATGCATCAGCTTCCCATTATTTAAAGCAGTCCTTTAACATTACAATGATAAAATCTTGCTTATTTGTCTCAATATTTATTACAATCTTTATTAGATGATTACATCTAACATTAGCATATAGTTGCATGGAATAGAAACTCCGTCTTCATTATTGTATTCCAAACACTTAGCATGGCACGTGATAAGGAAGCCCATTTGATGTTGCTGTTGACAAGTAGAGAAGATGGATGTGCACCAGAAATTTCCACAAATACATGGTTACCTACTGTGATGCATGCTACAAGGCAAGTATCTCAGAGCTTTGAGGACATCTTATAGGGGATTAGAGATGGCTTTGCTGAGAAAGCAGTGTTTAATGTGACACCTGAAGAATGAACAGTGTGTACCATGGTAAAGGCAGACAGCGTTTCCCAAGTGAGAGGGAAGAGTATGCTCAGGCTTTGGGATAGGAAGTAGCGTGATGCCTTCAAAGACCTGAAAGAGTTCCATTGTGGCTAGAGCAAACAAGCAGAATTCCAGTACAAAAGCAGATGATGGAAACTAAAGGAAAAGGACAATGTATGTAGCTTTTCTCTCCCGGGGGATTGCAAACCCTCTGTATGGGAGGTTGAGAGAGAGAGAGAGAAAGTGTGTGTGTGTGTGTTTGTGTCAGAAAGGGGAGATGGGATGAGCAATGTCTTTTTTCTTGTGTCTCCAGTACAATGGCTAGCAGATAGAAGGAGCTCAATTAATGACAGTTACTTAGGCAAAAGGGGCTTGAAATTAGTGCATCTTCCCAAAGTTAACTCATATGTGGCATCTGGTATTAAACAGCATGGTAAAGAGCTATTTCTATAGGGAGTGTGACTTCCACCACTGTTGAACAGTCATTGGATGTGTCTGGAATTCCTTCTTCGGCAAATCTTCATTAATCACATTCTATTCCTTATGTCTCAATCTTAGCTTCTAGAAAATACCTATGTCCAAAGGGCCGAATGGGATAATTTGACTAACAAATAGAATTTCATGAAAATTAGACTTTGCTTTACACTATAGAAGAATTATCTATAGATGTCTATTTTCAAAAGCAAAACAAACTCTGGTTTTTGCTTTGGTTAAAGGAAAATGCTCAAACTACCACCAAAATACTTTTCTCCAAATTTCATTTATTTCTGTTAGAAAAAAATCTCAAATAGTCAAAGGAATTTGTTTACAATGAAACAAAATGAAAATGAAAGGCTTTCCTCTTAAATCACACGTTGAATTTTCTTTGAGTTTAGAGTTCTTTGAGCATGTTCTTGGCTAAGATTCAGGAAGATCAAGATCCAAGATAAAGATGAAAGAAAAATGGAGAAATCCAATAGGCATAGGTACCAATAACTAGTAGGAATATGCAGTTGATTATTTGAATGATAGTAAGACTAAAGCATTTTGTAAGAAGCTTTGCTCTAAAAGTTATTTACTAGTGATTTGTAAGCAGAATATATTAAAATTCACCAAATAAAGGCTTGTTTTCCATTATCCACTTATTTTAAAACTTGCTTCACTTGGTCCTGGCTATGAAGGTGAAATTGACTATAGTCAAGAAATGCATTCTAAGAAGACAAAAGTGGAATTACTCCTTATATTGCCATATTTAATTTGTATTTTACACCTTAACATTCAATAAGATAGAATGTTATTGTACTATGAAGCTGGCATTGATGAGGTTGCCCTGTTCCTATACCAGGCTTTTGTGTAGCATTTATTGATTTGAGTGGCTTTAAAGATTATGCCCTGAATAATATTTTAAGTAAAAGGGAGAAGTAGGTAGAAATGTCCTTATTATTTATCTTGAATGTGAAGTTTCAAGGGTTTAAAATAGTCCTTTTTCTTATTTCCATTTTAAACTAGTTTTAAAAAAAAATTCCACTCCCCCAAGTGCTCATGGAGAATTTTAAACACATTTTCAGTTTATTTTGTGGTGTTATTTTATTATGCATATTGTATTTTTAAAGTGCTGATAATGATAGCAAAAAGAGTAATTAGAATATATTATACAATTCTTATTAAAAATTTACTTATAACTACTGATAGTTACTGATACTGAAATTTGGATTAATGTCAGAATAAGGAATCTCAAAAAATGATACTTTTATTATGAACTTAATTTTCTGACCCATCACTTCATTCCCCTGTGTTCTTTTTATTTTGGTATGACAAATCCTTTGGCATGTAAATCTTGGAGTGTAGGGCAGAGTACATTATTCACCGACCAAAGCATATTAATAGATACAAAAATCTGTTTATTAAGTAGTGTGACCAGAATTGATTCCAATCATATGTATATAAGTGCAAATATATTTTTTTTTGCCCAGGAGAATGTCTTAGTACTTGTCAATCTTTTAGAACTGAATGGCAATATTCATGACTGGCTTAGAAATGTGGCTTTTATATCTGGATAGAAAGATGAGTGCTTTTCACTGAAATAAATGCCATAGGTACATAGTGGCTGACACGTGGTCAGTGCCCAATTAATCAGCTCGCTCTCCTTTTGCTATAGCAGCAGCTCTCAGTATGTAGTCTTCTGGCCAGCAGCATCCACATTACCTAGGAGCTTGTTAGAAATGCAAATTCTCAGCCCTCTACCCCACACCTATTGAATCAGACACTGCCAGAATGTAGGGGTGGGTAAAAATTCAACAAGCTCTCCAGGTGATTCTCATGAATGCTAGAGTTTGAGAATCTCTCCTCGAGAGGTTTAAATGTATTACAATTTTGTCATTTTTTAAAGGATATCCCTTAAGAAAAACAGACCTTAGTTCTCTGCTCATTTTCTCTTTAACACTTTCCTAACATAAGCTAACATTTGGTGACAATGTGTTTTGTACAGTGCTAAGCTGTTAAGAGATTATCTCACTGAATCATTGCTAACATGTACTGTTATTATGCCCATTTTAGAGATGAAAACACTGGAGTTTTAAGAAGCCAGGAAGGGCTGGGTGCGGGGTCACACGCCTGTAATCCCAGTACTTTGGGAGGCTGAGGCGGGTGGATCACCTGGGGTCAGGAGTTCGAGACCAGCCTGGCCAACATGGTGAAACCCCGTTTGTACTAAAAATACAAAAATTAGTCAGGCATGGTGGTGGGCACCTGTAATCCGAGCTCCTTGGAAGGCTGGGGCAGGAGAATTGCTTCAGCCCAGGAGGTGGAGGTTGCAGTGAGCCGAGATTGAGACACTGGGTTACAGAGCGAGACTCCATTCAAAAAAGAAGCTGGGAAGTTGCTGAAGGTCACCTAGCTCGCAATGCTAGGTAGTATTCAAATCCAAGCAGTCTGATATTTGACCTTCATCAGTGTTCTAAAAAGCTCTTCGTTATTAATTGTAGCATAGCTGGTGCTGACAAATCTATTAGAGTCCCCTTTACACACTGATCTTTGCAATCATAATCTAAAATGAATAGTTCAATGTAAAATTCCAACACATACTCCTGGGAATAAGAATACCAAGCACAATGTCCTTTTTGGGAGGTGGAATTCATGACTAGAGTTCCCAGTTGAAAGGTTGCAGGTGAACCATATTAGTAAGTATTCTGAATCATTAGCCCCTGATTTTTATTTAGTGGCTCAAATGTGAGAAAACTATAGAATGAGAGGCTTCAGCTGAGTAAGAGTGCACTAAGGAAAATAAGAGACTGCAAGGTTAATGTGAGGGAAAAAATCTCTGCTGTTCATCTCTCTTTACCTTCCCTGACTGTTCATATTTAGAATCCATTTTCCTTAATTTAGTGTCATGTCCTTGGAATTTCTGTGCAATGCTGAGTATGTCCTCTATTTGTCACTTCTTAGTGACTAGCAATGATGTTGGAATTCAGATGGGGAAAAATATCCAATTATATTTGGGGGCACTTCAGGTCTGTAATAAGCAGCAGAATTAGGCTGTTATCACACTGTAATGAAGCTATCCTCTGCCATCAGCAGCTTGGCTTGTAGAACCTCATCAGATATCCCTAGTAGGTCAACTCCTCAATTGCACATTTAAAGCAAAGGACCCTACAGGGCACAAGAAAAGGCTTTGAACGATTGACTGTAATCTTCTTTTTAACATCACATTTTCCCCAGGATAACACCTAATTGCTTTGTAAATGGTCTTTTTTTTTTTGCCTTTAATAATCTTGCACAAAAGGCAATTACAGATTTTTTATGTGTAAAATACATTCTTAGGCCTGTTTCTCTCAATTTTTATTTATGCTGCCAAGTCATACAACTTGTATACTTTGCAGTTACTATTCCTCATCATCTTCCAAGTTACGTCTTTTATTCCTTAAGAATTTTCATGTGCTTTGAAGAGGTGAATTACTGGGTGACCACATCAACTGCATGAATGTGGCTTGCTATCAAGGTAGGAAAGAAAGACTTACACACTTTGAATGCAATTGATGGAACTCTCAATATGTAGATTTCTAAGACTAAAGAGCAGCCTTGGGTAGAGAATTTGGAAACGGAAAAGGCAGGTTGTTTTTGGGAAGAAAAGCAAGATGCCAAAGTAACCTTCCTAGAAGTTATTCTTAACTGCCGCTCAAATTTCAGAACTGGGTTTACTCTTTAAATGCAAAGTGCACCTTTCCTCTCAGCAGCATGACAATCTGTAGTGGCATGTAGGCTCTGCACATGAAACCCACAGGAAGATAGCCTTACTCTTAGGTCTCAGTCCTCTCTCTCTCCCAGGGCACTGTTCCTATTTTTTCATGATTACATTATTAGTTCTCACTGTGAAAGCCCAGCTTCCTTCTTAGCTCTTTATAGTCATGAATCTTAATTATTCTGCCGCCTTTGGCTTGTGAGCCTATCTTTTATTATTTGAAGAGTTCATGAAAAGGGGATTTGGGGTCTTTTCCTTTGTAATTAAAAAAATTCTGAGATTATGCAAGTCATATTACTTTGCCTTTCAGTAAAATGTAATTGTTACATGAAACAATATTTGTCGTCTTTGCATTACCTTTTACTGGTGACTGAATAGCACTATGAATATTTGTGACCTTCAAAGATAAGAACAAAACCATTATCTGTGTAAAAACTGCATTGTAAGAGATTTTGCTTTTTGATTTTTGTTTTGTTTTGTTTTTTTGGTACTGTATTTTGTTTCCATTTGAACAGCAAAGAAAAGCAACCTTGATGATGTGTTGAAATTATTCTGAATTTCACTACCTTGTTTTTGATACTTAGGCGAAACCTATATTCTTTCTCTCATTAACATACGGTTAAGGCAGTTTTGGCCAGATACGTCGTCATACTTCCACTTTGACATCAGAATGTCGAGGGGAAATCAGGGGTCTGTAAATGGCAAGACTTAGACTCTTAACCAGGCTGTGCTTATAGCCAGATGCTTGACTTTGGCCTGTCACATAACTGCTCTGGGCTTGTATTTTTTTCAAGCATACATTGTGGGAGTCCTATGAGGTGCTGTTAAAGCTATGTTTTAGATCTCAGGTTCTGATTTCTTGTTTTTGTATGTCTGAACATGACAGAAGTACTAATAGGCTACAAGCTAATGAAGAACCCACTTGAGTAGGACAGTATTCTTGCAGTGCAAAGCTCTTTGCGGAGTTCACTAATTCAGCACACGTCCTTTAGCAATGCTCAGGCTAGATTAGCTCATTCCCTGTTGTACAGAATTTTCATTGGTTAAGTAAACAAGATGATTCACCAAAAGGCTCGTTTCTGGCAAGGCCAGTGAAATAGTGTCAGTATTCATCAATATATTAATAATTTCATCACACAAAAAAGTGAATGCTGCAAATACTTTGAAGTGTCTTTGCAATCATTTTATCAAATATTTTTATTTTTTATAAACAAATTAATGTTGAATGTTGAGTTGTATATCCTGCTTTGTTCTGTCAACATTGCCTTTTTACAATTCCTCAGATACTGCTTTTGAGCCCATTTTACAAGTGTTATAATGTATAATTCAGGCTTTTTGTAGCCCATCTTAGAAGATCTTGTTCTTACTAGCTGAGTTTGAGTACTTAGTACTTGCTGATTACTTTAAATGTGTGATTTCATTTTATGTTTACAATAATGCTATGAAGTAGAAATTATTATTGCTGTTCTACAGAACTGGCAACTAAACATGAGAAAACTTAAGTAATTTGCCAAAAGTCATCCAACATATTAAACATGAAGAAGCCAGGATCCACGTGGAGGGTATATGACTGGTTCATTGGTCCATAGCAACTACTCTAAGGAATTAATTTGTGTCATATAAAGAATAAAATCTATTTAAGCTGTGTTAGAGACTCCTCATTTTTATCAATTTTATCTGAAATATTTGCATAATTAAAGAACATGACCATTTGACCTCATGTAAGTCACTTAATTTTTCTGAGTCTTGATCTTTTTCTCTTCTATAAAATGGGCGGTATGTTCATCATCATTCTTAAAGGATTGTTGTTGAAGATTAAAATAATAAATGTGAAAATACTTGGAAACTGTAACACCAGTGCACTTTGCCCTCCAAGCAGGAATTTCAAATACGTGGCTTTTAAATGATTCTGAACTCTGAGATACTTTGCCAAAAAAATCCAGGCAGTTAAGATCAATTTTTTTCCTCTTGAATTCTTCAGGTTTTTCCTTTACGTCTAGATTTTTATTTGAAAATGAAAAGACAAACTAAATTTTAACAAGGAACGAACTAAATTATGAAAGTTCATGTGTCCCAAAGGATTCAAGCATTCATGTAGAAAAGGTTGCTAAGTTGAAATGCGTGCCAAGTCCTCAGAATGCCCAGGCCCTGGCAGATGCTTGGACCACCTCAACAAAGGGGGGTTTCAGCCCTGACAAAGCTAACCTGTGACAATTTGTCACAAAAGTTGGCTAAAAGGTCCTTAAATAGGTATGAGGAACATCACTGAGGCTCAGGGATATAAAGAGACTTGATGAGGGTTGACCAGCTGGCCAGTGGCAGAGCTAGCACTAACTAAAGCCAGCCTCTACACCTCACTATTCCTTTAATACCAGCTAGCAGGTTATCCACAGATCACAGATGAATTACACGAAGAAGCCAGTGCCTTTATGCTTGGAAGGTATCAGGCGGGTGTTTGTGTACGAGTTGCAGTGGGTTTTCTCTTCCATCCTCATCTTCTCAGAAATATTTCTGGGCTTCCTAGAAGCTCGTCTTGGGTGTGACAAGCCTGTGTTTCCTTCGTGTCCTGATCATTATGCTGCAGCATGGTTTCCCTGATCTCGAATTCACTTTCTATATTTCTTGGCCACTGGGCATATTATTTGACATTTGTTTACACTTATCTGCATTTTCCATCTTCTGAGCTCACATATAGCACACAATGTAAATCCTCAGCTGCTGCTTGGCATTTGGGCACCTTATTATTTACTGTGCCATACCTCCCTCACTGTTTAATCTGCAAATCTTGCTCTCACTACCAAGCCATTTGTATACATAATTAAAATATGCAGTCCCTTCCAACACTGATCCTTGTCATATGTCTCACTAGTAATCTCTTTTCCAGACAGTGAATATTTTGCTTTTATTTATTTTGCTTCTTGGAAGGAGACGGTGCAGAGCAGGCTCAGAGATGTTCCAGAAGCCTAATTTGCTTTTTTTAAAGTTCTAAAGAACCACGGCATTCTTAGTGTTTACTTATTTGCTCAGTGATTTCTGACTTGTTTCTAATGAAAAAAATTCTGACCAGTAATTGCAGTTAAAAAAAAAAAAAAAAGATCAATGGCAACTTGATGATGGGGAACCATTTCATCTACTTGGAAGTCTTAAAACTGAAGATAAGATTTTTGAATACATTATCACTATGTGCCAGGGTGCTTATTGTTCTCCTTTCTAATGTCACATAGGGACCATTTCTGGATAACAGATATTGCACTAGACAACTAATTGTGAATTTTTAATGGCCGTGAAGCTGTTATCTAGGGGCCTGATTGCATAGGGACCTAGAGTGTGTTAACTCTCATAGACATCTGGCAAATTGCTTCCCAAACAGCCATTGCATGGCTGGGAAATTCTCTGATGTTTGAAACTTTCTGCTAGTTGCGTAGGAGTACTTAATGGGGCTGTCCTCATTTTTAAGTAAAAATGTCCATGTGGAGTTGTTTATAATGCCCACACCCATGCGAGCATTCCCCAATTTCTTAAACTTCTCTCACCAGCTTAGATGCTTCACAGGCATCATATATCTGACATTTGTAATTGTTCTAAAACAAGCGTGTCTTTGGGGTAGGTAATACATTGATTTAAACGAGCACTGATATGTACGAGAATTGGTTTCCAAAGTGGAGCACTGTCAGGGCTTGGAGGAGAAAGGTTCTGTGCATAGCAAAAAAAAAGCCAGAGGGGTAGGGTGGGGAAGGGGCAAGATAAACCATGCATATTATGTGACAGATTTTCCTAGATGCAGCCTTCATTATTAGGGAATTTTAAGACTCTATATAAACCACTGCATTACCCACAATGCTATTTCAGATTTAACCTTCTACCTTTGCAAAATTCACCTTCGCATTGAAAGTCATAAGGTCAGCCTACTGAGAGTGTAAACTTGTCCAGAGATTCTGGTCTCCAAAGGGTAAGTGTGAAAGGCAGGAAATTAAGATTAAAAGATAGATGAGGTTCCATTTTCCCCAGCATCCCCGCAATCCCCTACCCCATATTTGCTCTCTGCAAAGAGAAAAGCCATGCGTCTTTGAATGTCTAGGGACAAGAGATGTTACTTTTACAGTCAATGCAGGCACTGTGGGTCTTCCTAAAGATTTAACTTAGGATTTCCATCAACACCCTTGGTTCTACCTAAGGGGTTATCACCCAGGAGGTTTGTGTTGAGGTAGTGCTTTGTATTTCTCTGGTGAGGAGCTCAATTCATTTCTAAAATTTCTCATAAAATTGTCAAGGCCTCAAAGAGAACAAGCCAGTTAAGAAGCTAAGTCCTCTCACGCTTGTAATCCCAGCACTTTGGGAGGCCGAGGCAGGTGGATCACCTGAGGTCGAGAGTTCGAGACCATCCTGGTCAACAAGGAGAAATCCTATCTGTACTTAAAATACAAAATTAGCTGGGCATGGGGGTGCATGCCTGTAATCCCAGCTACTCAGAAGGCTGAGGCAGGAGAATCGCTTAAACCTGGGAGGCAGAGGTTGCGGTGAGCCGAGATCGCGCCATTGCACTCCAGCCTGGGCAACAAGAGTGAAACTCTGTCTCAAAAACAAAACAAAACAAAAAAGCTAAGTGCTTTACTGAACAAATAAAAGTCTTAGAAACATAGTTTGATCATTTAAAAGATTTTATTGTGGGCAGTGTCTTACTCAGCTGGTGCACGTCCATGTGGCCTTGCCAGTAGTTTAAAAATATTGTTGTTTATTTTTAAATTTACATATACAAAAAATCCAATCTTTTTAGAGCTGTCAGTTTTGACAGATACATAGTCATGTAACCAAGCTCACAATCAAGATAAAGATCTGTTCATTATTCGAAAAATCTCCCTCACTTTGCCCCTTTGTTCTGAAACCCTCTCCTAACCCTTAATCTCTGACAACAACTGACCCACTCTCTTGCAGTACTTGGCCTTCTGTGCCTGCCTTATTTTACTTAACATAATGACCCTCAGGTTCGTCTATGTTGTATAGATCACAAATGGTAGGATTTCATTTTAAGGCAGAGTAGTATTCCATTGTATGTATGTACCACATTTTCTTTATTCATCCATTGATGAACATTTATATTCATGCTTCCATGTCTAAGCTATTTTGATAACAGTACAATGAACATAGGAGTACAGATATCTTCCTGAAATCCTGATCTCACTTTTTTTTGGATTTATGCCCAGAAATAGGATTGCTAGGTCATTTGGTAGTTCTGTTTTGAATGTTTTAAGAAATTTTCATACAGTTTCCCTTAGTGGCTGTATCAATTTTTTTATTCTCACCAACAGTGTGCAAGCTTTCCATTTCTTCACATAATTACCAACATTTGTTACCTCGTTTGTGTTTTGTTTTTTTTTTTAAGCCATCCTATCATATCACTCAGTGAGGTTCTGCCTCATTGTGGTTTTGTTTGGGTTTCTCTGAGGAATGGCAATGTTGGGTACCTGCTCATCTACCTCTTGGGCATTTTTGTGTCTTCTTTGGTAAATGTCTATTTGGTACTTTGCCCATTTCTTAATCAGTTTTTTTTTTTTTTTGTTTTTTGTTTTTTTTTGCTATTGAGTTGTAGGCATTCCTTATGTATTTTGGATATTAACCCACTAATCTATTTTTGCTCTTATTGCCTGTGTCTTTGGCATCATATCCAAGAAGTCACCGTGAAGGCAGAATAATATCAAGAAGCTTTTTTTTTTTTTTTTTTTTTTTTTTGACAGAGTCTTGCTTTGTCACCCAGGCTGGAGTGTAGTGACGTGATCTTGGCTCACTGCAACCTTCGCCTCCCGGGTTCAAGCAATTCTTCTGCCTCAGCCTCCCGACAAGCTGGGACTAAAGGCGTGCACCACTATGCCCTGCTAATTTTTGTGTTTTTAGGAGAGACGGGGTTTCACCATTTTGGCCAGGCTGGTGTCAAATTCTTGACCTTGTGATCTATCCATCTCAGCCTCCCAAAGTGCTGGGATTACAGGCGTGAGCCACCGGGCCTGGCCAGCTTTCTCTTTCCAGAAGCTTTATGGTTTCAGCTCTTACATTTAACTCTTTTTTTTTTTTTTTTTTTTTTTTTTTTTTTTTTTTGACAGAGTCTTGCTTTGTCACCCAGGCTGGAGTGTAGTGACGTGATCTTGGCTCACTGCAACCTTCGCCTCCCGGGTTCAAGCAATTCTTCTGCCTCAGCCTCCCGACAAGCTGGGACTAAAGGCGTGCACCACTATGCCCTGCTAATTTTTGTGTTTTTAGGAGAGACGGGGTTTCACCATTTTGGCCAGGCTGGTGTCAAATTCTTGACCTTGTGATCTATCCATCTCAGCCTCCCAAAGTGCTGGGATTACAGGCGTGAGCCACCGGGCCTGGCCAGCTTTCTCTTTCCAGAAGCTTTATGGTTTCAGCTCTTACATTTAACTCTTTTTTTTTTTTTTTTTTTTTTTTTTTTTTTTTTTGAGACGGAGTCTCGCTCTGTCGCCCAGGCTGGAGTGCAGTGGCGCGATCTCGGCTCACTGCAAGCTCCGCCTCCCGGGTTCACGCCATTCTCCTGCCTCAGCCTCCCGAGTAGCTGGGACTACAGGCGCCCGCTACCACGCCCGGCTAATTTTTTGTATTTTTAGTAGAGACGGGGTTTCACCGTGTTAGCCAGGACATTTAATTCTTTAATCCATTTTGAATTAATGTTTTTGTATGGTGTATAATAAAAGTCCAATTTTATTCTTTTGCATGGGGATATCCAGTTTTCCTAATGCTGTTCCTTGAAAAGACTATTCTTTCCCCAGTGTGTATTTTTGACACCCTGTGGAAGATCAGATGACTGTAGGGGAATAGATTGATTTCTGGGCTTTCTATTCTGTTCCATTTGGTTGATGTATCTGTTTTGATGCCAGAACCTTACACTTCTGATTACTGTAACTTAATAATATATTTTGAAACTGGAAAAATACAATGCCTCTAGCTTTGTTCTTGCTCAAGATTTCTTTGGCTAGTCAGGAAAATTTTGTGGTTCCATATGGACTTCCGGATTTTTTTTATTTAGGTGAAAAATGTCATTGGAATTTTAATGGGAATTGCATTGAATTTGTAAATTGCTTTGGTTGTATGAACATTTTAGCAATAATTCTTCCAATTTATGAACATAGCATGTCTTTCCACTTATTTGTGTCTGCTTTACTTTTTTATCAGCATTTTAGAATTTTCAGTGGGTATGTCTTTACCCCCTTGGTTAAGTTTATTCCTAAGTATTTACAAAATTTTTGACACTATTATAAATGAGATTTTCTTGATTTCCTTATCAGATAATTTGTTAGTATATGGAAATATCACTGATTTTGGTATGTTGATTTTGCTGAATTCATTTTTAACAGTTTTTTTTTTTTCGAGTTTTTAGGGTTTTTGATGTATGAGATCATGTCATCTGCAAACAGCAAGTTCTACTTCTCGATTTCTGATTTGGATGGCTTTATTTGTTTACTTTTGGTTTCAGGTTAGTGCAGAAATGTGTTGGAAAGTGTTACTCCTGTTCTTTTTTTCTGGAAGACTTCAAAGATTGATATAATTTATTTCTTAAATATTCGGTAGTGTACTCCTTCAAGTAAACTGTAGAGCTCTTACAATTACATACTTTCCAACTTCAATTTCACTTGGTTAAAAGGAAGTTTCTGCCCTTGACTCTTTCTTTTCTTTCTCTGAGAGCTCGAGCATGGATATGCCTTTGATTCATTTTGAAACATGCAGAAATAGACACACTCTATGGCATGGTGGGGCAATAAGAAGGAAGAAACCCGTATCCCTGGATGGCCATCTGGGGGAGAGCTACCCTGTCAACTTAGACTCCTTTTTTTTGTATGAACAAACCACTACACTTTTGGGTCTTTTTGTCAAAGTGACTTAGCCTTTACCATATTTATCCTAATTAGAAATGAAGGTCTGAACTTTGCTGGGATTCACCTGCAAGAGGCCTGATGGGATTAAACCAACACTGGAAAGAGGCTGTGAGTAGATACAGTTTCTGCTATGGAAAAGGTTATAAAATAGCGTAAGGGCAACCCTGCACCAGCATACCACATTTCCCACACATTGACATTTCTTGCAGCATTGAATCAGAGACCTGGATTGCTTAGACTACACTTAACTGTAGGCAATGAGCAGAGAGGAAAGTGCTATTTTGGGCGTGTTTGACAAAGAATAAAAGGATATCTCAAAATCTTTGGTAGGTATCTTTCATAGTGTCCTAAACTTTGTATTTCATCACAATTAAGGAAATTAAAATGTGAACAAAGCCAGAGACATCAGTTTTCCTTGATTTTAGACAAATCCCTAAAACAAGATGCTTGTATAACATTTAGGTAGGATTACAAAAATTAGAGATTATATACTTTTGTGCCTTGGGCCTGAAGTGTTTAAATTGGAACAGACTAAATAAATAAATCCAGTAAACATCAATAGATTTGAACCTCTCAACTGATGGAGGCAGTCCAGTTATAGGAGGTGCTGCTATAATTTGGAGGCCTAATAACAGGCAGTTTTTAAAAAAATGCCAATCCATGAAACAAAACAGAAAAAAGTTGTTTTTTTAACCAAACTGAGTTTCATTACCAGAAAATATAACTAGCTCCTCCCATTCTCCTTTTCCTCTCTTGCACCCTCTATATTCACTCTGATATTGATACTACTACTACAGAAAACAGAAAGCCTATGGCATTTTATAATACCCAGAAGATAAGCACATCCTATAACCTGGCCATTCCACAAATAACTAGATGTGTGAACATGTGCATTAGGATACTTACACATGCACATCAATCTTGATAACATCATTGTTGTAATAGCCCTTAGCCGAAAACAATCCAAATGTCCAAGGGTAGAATGGGTAAAAGGTTGTGTTACATTCACACAGAAGAAAATTATAGAGCAATGAAAATGAATAAATCTTAGGTACATACAACAACTTGAATTTATCTGGAAAACATAATGTTTACCAAAAAAAACAAAAGTTAAAAGTGATAACAGTAATATTCAAAGAACATTCCAAAACCTAACCAAATAAAATTATTTGGGAATGCATGCATAAGTAGGTATCAAGGAAACAATAACAGAAGTGATTATTTCATAAGTGGAGATGGTGATTGTCTCTGGAAGGGATATGGAGGCTTAAGGAACAAAGATGGGGCTTTTGGGGTGCTGCCTGGTCCTATTTCTTGACTTGCTTCTGGTTAGTTGGTGCATTAATTGTCTATTGCTGTATAACAAGTTATTCCAAAACTTAATGGCTTAAAATGACACAAATTTTTCATCTTATAGTTTCGGTGAGTCAGAAACCCAGGCACAGACTGAGTCTCCTGCTTCAGGGTCTTTCACAGGCTGCAAACAAGGTGTTTGCCTGGGGTTTCTTATGAGGCTGAAATCAAGGTGTTGCCAGGGGTTGCAGTTATCTCAAGGTTCAACTGGGACAGGATCCACTTCCAAGTTTGTATAGTAATTATTGAAGATTTATATCCTTGGTGGCTGTTGGCCAGATACCACCCCCAGGTGGCCCTGTCTACCAAAGAAAGCATGCAACAAGAGCTAGAGAGAGACTAATACAAGACGGAAGTCACATTTCTTATAATCTAATTCTAGAATGACATCACATCACTTCTGTGACATTCTATTCATTAGAAGCAAGTCAGTAGGTCTAGCTCACACTCGAGAGGATTACTCAAGGGGTTGAACACATGGAGTTAGGGATCATTGGAAGCTATTTTTAAAAGTTGCTTGTCACACTGTTTGTTGGCTTCATAATTTGTGAAATGATACTTTCATGTTTTATGCAATTTTTGTTGGTGTTTCACTTCATAATAAAGGAAACCTGGGGGATAGGCAGCTATAGAAACTCTAATGGCATGTTTCTTGTGAACATATCCTTCTCCTTCCTTGTCTGCAAATAATAAACATGGTATTTGGCCACTAAAAATCATTTGCTGATAATGAGCTAAATTTTTGCACCCTTGAGAACAGATAACTTTTATTGAACCAATCACAAAACAATTCTAGGAATCATAAAATTTTAAAGGCGAGGATGTAGAAAAATGCTTGACTAATAAAATTCTCCACAAAAGGAGAATAAATGTGTGTTAAATATTAGAGGGGGGGAAGTTCCAAATAAGAAAATACAGACTGAACACGAACAATGATTTAAGATGGGTAGAATTGGGATAGCACTTTGGGGATGTATCCCTACAGAATGACTTAAGTCCTGAAAATGTATATCTCGTTATTCTTGGGTTATTCATGATCTAGTTTACGTTATCCCTGTAGTTCTAGTTCTGGGAGCATGTTCTGGCTTAGATATTTGCAAGCCTCAGAACGTTGGCTTCAAACTGTTTGACTCCATCACAGACATGTGTATGAAGTTCCCGTCTGTATCCTTTTCAGAATGTATCTCTCAGTAGGATGTGGAATGCAACTCAACGACTCAGGTTCACTATCATAAGGCCATGGAACAAGGGGCTCAGAGGTTAGATTGAATTGTGTTGAGTTGAGAGAGGCAGGTGGTAGACAGGAACTTGCAGATGTCTGTGGGAACACCTAGGGAAAGGGTGCTTATTACTGTCCTGGTTTCAGTGATGAGAACTAGAAGGATGATGTCTCAGGGGTCCTGTCCAGGGTCCTCTGTTTCTCAGAGCCTTGAAGCTTTGTGAAGGAGCATCTGGAGAACAGGCAAAGTCATGTGTACGTATTAAACTCAGAGTTTAGATCCTGGCATGGACTTTAGAGATCCCTGATTCTGGTCACTTCATTTATAAAGGCAGAATTCGAGTCCTAGGAAGATCAAGACTAAAAGTCAAATGGCCAGTTAGTATCTTTATCAAGCCATGATATGTTACATTAGCTTTAATATTTTATTTAAGCAATAAGTTATTTGCTGCAGGTTTTGTTTACATTTGATATAGATACTTTGAAAATACCTACCTTAAGTCCTGAAATGGGCTCTATTAAAGCAGTTTCATAGCAACACATCTGGGGAAAATGCTTAGTTGTTTCAATGACACACTGCTTTATGGAAGGTGTGAAAAGTGGGATGGAAATGGATCATGAGAATTTTTCTAAAGTGGGATGGGAATGGACCTAAAGTGGGATGAAAATGGACCACGAGAATCTTTTCAGGGGTAGATTCTAGTCATTTTGATCTCTTCTACACTTTGATGTTTAGGAGCCTTCTTTTGTTTTTGGGATCTGGTCTCAGTTGAAATTCCTTAGTTCTGAATGCAAACTCAAGGCAGGTTAGAATTTACCTACTACAAACTACTTTTGTTTCCTTACAAGTCTTATTTTACACAACCAAATTCTACACAACACAGTTAGCCTCCCAACAGTTCTTGATTTCTTGCTGCCATGTGCGCTGACCTCTGGTTCTTTTCCAAGATAACCTGTGTTTGCAGTCCTGCTCCAGAGTTTTCTATTTTCACTTTCTCAGACTCAAGTCAAACTACTGGATAGTGAAACTGCTCCTCAGGTGCATTCCTGCAGGAACTTGTCTTCCAATAGGAAAGCTTAGTCAGAGTACAGCCTCTGTCCATTTACATTTTAGGGGCCCTGATGTTCTTGGCAACACAAAAAATAGCTCCCAAGAAAAAACAGCCAAGGTTATAATCCATATTTTACTTGCTAAGGTGAATATTACTGTTCTGCTATAAAGTTGGTATTCTTTTGCAGTGGAGAAGAGAGCTTAGATAATGAATATGAGTTTACTAAATACTACAGATCACTTCTCTACCCTTCTGCCCAGACTTAACATCTCTCCACCCAGTCAGTAAGAATAAAATGATGATGAAATAACATAGTAGTAATAACAAAATGTAGTGTTTACTATATTTCAGCACCTTCCATCATTATTTTATTATTCCTTACAATAAACCAATAAATTAGTCTGATGGATATTAGAGGAAGAATACATCTTTTACCTCTGTTTTCTAAAGCAATTGAAAGCCTCAAAATTGTCGTTTTTTTTTTTTTTTTTTTTTTTTTTTTTTTTTTTTTTTTTTTTTTTTCTTTAAGACAGTCTCTCTGGGCTCAAACAATCCTCAGTTTCATGAGTAGCCAGGACTACAGGCATGCACCACCACGCCTGGCTAATTTTTTAAATTTTTTGTAGAAATGCGATCTCACTTTGTTGCCCGGGTTGATCTCAAACTCCTGGGCTCAAGAGATCCACCTGCCTCAGCCTCTCAAAGTACTGGGATTATAGGTGGGAGCCACCACACCTGGCATAATTGTATTTTCTTGTTCCACTGTTTATTCCTCCTTGTGGAGGTAAAATTATTTGTTTATATGCTAAGCAACAGATATTGGTACACGTTTTTCTCCTTGACTGATTTAATCTCTCAAACATCATTCTCTAGATCACTCAAACCCAGACCAGAGTGAAACAAAGATGGGAGTGTGTCTGTTCCCAAGACAGAGTCTTGGGGTGAGCTGATACATGGCACATACTTCTAGGGGAAGGGTGAACACATGTGGTGAACATGACCACTGGAAGCTCACATACAGCTGTTGCCTTATTCTTTTGATTTCTCAATTGTCTCACATCTTAGGGTGTTATTTACTGGGTGGACCTCCTCATAACTAAATAGTGCATTTTGTGAATCTTAGAGTAGAAAAGGACTGGGATTTAGAGAGCGCAATGATCTTAGAGATTGAAATTTTGGTTTTCAATAAAGCTGGTTTTTGCAGCTGGGTGCGGTGGCTCACACCTGTAATCCCAGCACTTTGGGAGGCTGAGGCGGGTGGGTCACGAGGTCAGGAGATAGGAACTATCCTGGCTAGCATGGTGAAACCCCATCTCTACTAAAAATAGAAAAAATTTGCCGAGCATGGTGGCACGTGCCTGTAGTCCCAGCTACTCAGGAGGCTGAGGCAGGAGAATCGCTTGAACCTGTACAGCGGGAGATGTAGTGAGCCGAGATCATGCCACTGCACTCCAGCCTGGTGACAGAGTGAGATTCCATCTCAAAACAAGCAAGCTGGTTTTTGCATTTCCTCCATTTGGCCTTTTATGGATATAGCCTGACAGAGACTGGACATCTCATATCATGCTGCATCTTACTTGAGTGGTGACTGCAGCTTAGGACAGCTGAATTCCCAGGTGGGCATCTCTTTTTATGTGGTCCTTGAGGAAGTACTCAAGGGACCTATACAAATGCACAGAGTTCTGGAGGTGGTGGCAGCTGTCTATGAGCACAGGGCCCTCAGCCAACATCATGGCTGGGCTATGTGATCATGCTGGCTCAACCAAGGGACGAGAATTGAGCCTATAGACTCTTAGCTGAATGCTGGTGCCTTAGCCGAACGCTGGTGTCTTAGCCTTAATGTGTAGGATGCTAGAGTTGACCTTGGAACCCACAACAAGGATGGCTGCTATTGGAGGAGGAACTGAGAGGGTAATAATAGGGACTCACCTTAAAGCAGGTGAAGCTCCAATATCCATGTTTAGATTTTTTTCCCCTGTGTTTATCATTATGTTTCTCTGTCAAGAAAGCAACGGTAGCCAAGTGCCATAAGGTCAAAGAACAGGAGCTCTACTTTCTAATGCCAGACTTAGGTGTAGGCAGTGTTAGGTAAACAATCCAAAATAATTTTCCCTTTTTGATCTTGTATCAAAATGATATTAAGGCCAAGAGGGAGAACTGAGAAGAGCCTAGCATTAAATTCATGTGGCCTGACTGCCAAAGTCACCACCATACTCCTGCCCAGCAGTGTTCAATTTGGCCCTGGATTTGTCACTTAAGCCCTGACATGGTTTTCAGAGGCTAAACTGAAGTGACTGCATAAAATAGTCAAAAAATTATTTATCTAAAATTCAAATTTAACTGGGCATCCTGGATTGTATTTTTATTTGCTAAATCTGGCAACCTACCTAGGTGAGGTTATCAAACATGGAAAACTGATAGTGGAAAAGGTTCCTTTGAAGAGTTGACATTTTAATATTCCAAGAACTTACAGATAATCTTCATTATGGCAGATGACATAAAATATAGTTAGGAGATTACATTAAGAAAACAAATGGCTCGGGAAGGGATTAGATACAGGCAAAAGGAAGAAATATATAACAAACGATGTTAGCCCTATGTGTGTTAGAAGGAAAAATACTCAATTTAAGGAATAGGTTATACATTCTAGTTAGCTTTTCTGATAAGACCAGGAGATCAGCAATATAAATTGAAATATTACAGATAAAGTTGTAGCAAAAGGAAATGCTACTCAAGGCAGTATACTAATATTCAAGGCAGAAACTTTCAGAAAGATACAAGAGCAAGGCAGAAGTGTTAGTGCTTGTTAGCCCCAGGGGTACAAAATAAAGAAAATTGGAAGTTTACTTGAAACAATTCTCCATCTGAAAATAATGTAGGCAAAAAGAACAGACTTCATAGGCTAAAGCAAAGTCATAGTAAGGAGCATTAGAAGTAGTCTCTGTGGCAAAGAGCTAAAAGTGGCTGCTCATGAGACATTGAGAGCCTGGGTTGCTAAACAGAGTCAACCTCACTGCATTCCTGGGATACCAGAATATGGAACCCAGAAGCAAAGTGCACATTAAAAAGATTAGGTATCAGGATGATGGCAGCCTCATAGAATGAGTTGGGGAGGAGTCCCTCCTCCTCAATTTTTTGGAATAGTTTCAGTAGGAATTGCACCAGCTCTTTTTTATACATCTGATAGAATTCAGCTGTGAATCTCTCTGGTCTTGGGCTTTTTTGTTTGGCAGGCTTTTTCTTACTGATTCAATTTCGGAACTAATTATTGGGTTGTTCATGGATTCAGTTTCTTCATATTTCAGTCTTGGGAGGATGTATATGTCCAGGAATTTGTCCATTTCTTCTAGATTTTCTAGTTTGTATACATAGAGGTGTTCATCATAGTATCTAATGGCTTATTGTATTTGTGTGGGGTCAGTGGTAACATCCTCTTTGCCATTTCGATTTGTGTTTATTTGGATCTTCCCTCTTGTTTTTATTAGTCTAGTTAGTGGTCTTGTTAATGCTTTGAAAGAAACAACTCATGGATCTGTTGATCTTTTGTATGATTTTTCGTGTCTCAACTTTTTTCAGTTCATCTCTGATTTTAGTTATTGTCTTCTGCTAGTTTGGGGTTGGTTTGCTCTTCTCTAGCTCTAGCTGTGATGTTAGGTTGTTAATTTGAGATCTTTCTAACTTATTGATGTGGGTGTTTAGAGCTATAAACATCCCTCTCAACACTGCCTTGGCTGTGTCCCAGAGATTCTGGTATGTTGTATCTTTGTTCTGATTACTTTCAAAGAATTTCTTGATTTCTGCCTTAATTTCATTGTTTACCCTAAAGTCATTCAGGAGTAGGTTGTTTAATTTCCATGTAATAGTATGGTTTTGAGTGACTTTTCACAGTAAGGATTTCTATTTTTCAGTGTGGTCTGAGTGTGGTTGGTATGATTTTGGTATTTTAAAAATTGCTAAGTATTGTTTTATGTCTGATCATGTGGTCGATTTTGGAGTATGTGCAATGAGAATAATGGACATTCTGTTCTTGGATGGAGACCTCTGCAGATACGTACTAGGTCCTTTTGGTCAAGTGTTTGGGTTCAGGTCCTGAGTACAGTTTTCTGTATGAAAACTGAAATTATCGATAAATCTGTAGATTGAGTAACCCCAATAATATATAAATAAGATTTTAATAACCTTCTAAAATAATCCTGAATTCAATTGGAAGATAACATAGATACTAATAGATCAACATTTTTGAAAAATAAATGTAACATTTATTTTTCAAATAAACAAAATGGCAATAATTGAGTTTTCAATAATCCAGTGTTCACAGTGACTTTATAGGACATAACTACTGTGAATAATGAAAATCAACTGTATATAAAAAGGGTCAGATTCAATAGTTCAAGGATATTCATGCAACAATATTGTAATTCTTTTAACCTTTACATTAAAATGGATCATAATGATTATGCTCATAGTACTGTGATTTGGACATTTTCATATAGTGTTATTTTAAATTAAGAGCATTTAAAATATTTTTACTATTTGACACAATAATTCCATTTCTAGGAATCTGTTCTGAGGAAATAATCAGAATGCTATCAAATATAGAGAGCTGTTCATGATTTAGTATTAAGGATTTTAAAATGCAAAACATCGAACTGTAAATAGCATGATCCCAACTACTTAAAATATGTATAAAACAGAAGACACAGTGAAAAAAATTCAGAAGCTTGATAACACTAGAATTTTTTCTCTTTTAAAAATTGGTTTTATTTCTTATCATTCCCAACTTTAGTGTACCCCCCCACTATAAATCTATGCATGTATATATTTTATATAACTTTGCTTATATATGCTCTTGCAAAATATATGCATGGCATATATATGACTTACGTAAATAGTACTGCATTAGCTCATTCTGTTCCTGTCTTCACTACTGCTTTGATTTTTGACCTCCCTTCCATGCTAGAGTACATCTAATAACTCCTCCTGATTACTGAGTTATACTGGTCATATGTAACTATCTGTTGATAGTTCCCTGTTCACTTTCCCAGTAATAGACAACCAGGTTGCCTGCAACTTTCTGCCCTCTAAGTGATGCTGAAATAAGCATTCTCGTAGATTTTCTCCCATCTGTCAAATCGTGGACCGTAACATGTTTATGCTTGAATTGACTCGGTAAGTAACCCGTCCTTCAGAATGTCACTGGCACATTTGACTTGGGGGATCATGGCTATTTGTGTTTTCCTCAATTTGTGTGCATGATCTTTATACAAATAAAACTAATATGCTTCAAATGTGTTCAAAAGGAAGATCTTTGAATAGATCCCAGGTCTTCCTGTATCATTGATTTTGCTAGTTGAGTTTTTTCAATCTTGCATGCACTCCTCCTGTGGTCGACAGAATAATGGTCCCCAAAAGTTGTCTAATTCCTAATCCCTGGAACCTGTGAATACGTTAGCTCAGATAGCAGAAGGGACTTTGCAAGTGTAATTAAGTTAAAGACCTTGAAATGAAACGATTATCTGGGATCATTCCAGTGGACCCAGTCCAATCACATGAATCCTTAAAAGTGGAAGAGGGAGGCATAGAAATGGGTCAATTACTAAACTATTTGTATATTTGTATTCACTAGGACACATCAAAAGCACCTACTAATAGATGTGTCTCCCTTGCTAGAGTCATCTCTAAGCAGGCAGGACAATGACTGACACATAGCAGACCCTTGATAAACACTTTCGACTTCTTTATGTGGTCACTCTTGAAATAGTACATGGAGCTCTACTATTGAATAAAAGTGCTTCTGGGGACAGCAATATGGAGGGGAGCTCTTTGCCAGATTTTATTTTGGAATTCATAATTTGTATTTGCAGAATCCTAGGGATTTGTGAATGTTACCCCATGTGGCAAAAGGGACTCTGAAGATGTACTTAAATGAAGGATTATGAAACGAAGACATGATCCTGGGTTATTCAAGTGGGTTCATTGTAATCGCAGGAATTTTTATGAGAGACACAGAAAGAGGCGGAGTCAGAGGACAAGGCAATGTGGTGACAGATAGAGACCAGAGTGAGTCTTGGAGATGGAGAGATATCACAAGGCAAGGTCCACAGGCAGCCTATAGAAACCAGCAGTTCCATACTGACTCTCCTTCAGGAAAATACTTCTCCCTTTAGAGAGCCTAGGACTTCACCACTGCTGCTACATTCCTGTGTTTTAAGAGTCTAGTTACATCTTCCATGCTGGTGGCTGTCACCTTCAGTGGCTCAAGGCACAAAGTTGTCACCACTTGCATACTGTGAGTCACTGCTGTGAATAACCCTTAAGCTCCTGGACTTTGTAAATTATTTAATTTAAAAAAATTCAAGCTTATCCCCATAATACATTGCCTTCTTAGTGATCATTCTTCTGCATTTTGCTATGCTTTCTTAAATAAGACAGGGATGGCTGTATAATTAGGGACCCTAGAATTGTATATAACCATATTTTCCTATTGAGGATGTTACAAAGGAAGATGTCATCATGTAGCTTAAAATAAAAACCCATCAACTGGGTGGGTGGATATAAAGCTGAAGTAGAGGAATGAATCAGTAGCAATTTTAAGGTTCTGAGACTTGGTTCCTGAAAGGTATGGGAATTGTTCAGGGGAACATTTTTTGGTAGTGGAGGAGTGTGTGTGTGTGTTTGAATTATTTATGTGTTTGAGGCAAATAAAAGTCCTGCAGATATCTGCCAGTATGAAATTGAAGATTGAAAGAGTACAAGAGAACAAATAGGGATATTTAGGGGTCCACAGATAATACCATTGAGTATTAGAAAAAAGTTTTTTTATTTGTTATTAAATTATACAAGAGAAAAGTGCTAAGGAATAAGTATTTGGGAATCTGAAAAAATACCTGCTGTCAGTCTGTGGAAAAAGGTAACGGGGGCAGAAAAGTCATTTATGGAAGTTGTAGGAAAGAAGTCATTATTATACAGTATCACAGACATCAAAAAAAGAGAGCATTTCTTAAGGGGTATTCAACAGTGTAATTCCCACAGTATTCTTTGAGTATCAAGAAAGAAAGACTTTGCTTGATCATGTCAGGGCTGTTACAGAACATAATTTCAGCGGATGCCATTAGTAATTTTGTGCTGTGAATGTTTTCCTCTGGAGTTGTGCATTGCACAGCCTGTGTAGCTGCTGTTCGGGAAAGATCAATCACGTTATCAAGAGCATTTAGGGAGAAATGCATAGCTAGAGGCAAAATGGAGGAGGAAAGAAGAATTAACACTGATACACATCAGGAGGAAGGAGAGAGTCAGAGTTGGAAAAGGTGCAGAAAGTAAAGACAAGTGCTACAAAGAAAACTTTACTGAATACTTCTTTTTTTTTTCTGTTTCTTTCCTTAATTTGGACTGCCACTTCTGACTGGCAGGCTCTCATCTATTGTTCCAGACTAGGCAAACTTCATCTCTCTGAAACCTTCTCCCATCACTGCAAAAAGAACTAATAGCTTTTTAAAAGATATGTAAATTTATAAGACTTGCTATAAATCTGTCAACAATCTCAGCAACATTGTATTATAATTGTGTGTCTGCTCTCCTGATAAACTCTGCTCTTGTCTTTGGGCACAGAAGTCTTAGGTCCAAGTAGGAGGCAAAAAGATAGCCTCAGGAAAAGACAGATGGACTTTCTGCAGGTGCATGTGCCTTGGCTGTGAAGTGCCCACAAGCTCTATTAATCCATGATTAGTGAAATTTCACCTCTATGGCTCCTCCTTGTAGTAGACCTGTATAGCAGTGCTTCTCAAATTATAATCCAGATTTTGCTGAATAAAGATTCTGATTTAGTAGGTCTGGGGTGGCCTGATGAGATGCTGTATTGTTAAGATGTGCTTAGGTGAGGCCGGTGCTGTTGGTCTGAGGACCACACTTCCGAGTGCAAGGCTCCAGGCTATATTGAATAACCTTAGCTCTGTGGCTCTGTCCTAACACCAAGGGTCTGAAACTGGCTTACATTTGTTGCAAAGAGATAGAAGATCTGACCATATGATTTGGGAACTGGAACTTCAGGATCCTCTTTTCCTACTGATTTCTCTTTTTTGAGGCTTTTATTTAATTTTAACTTGACAAACAAAAATTGTGTATGTTTGTTACATGCAACATGCTGTTTTGAAATATGCATACATTGTGGAATGGCTAAATTGAGAAAACTAACATATGCATTATCTCACACACACCTTTTGTGGTGAAAACGCTTAAAATCTACCCTTAGCAATTTTCAAGAACATGATATATTGTTGTTAATGACAGTCATGATGTTGTACAGTAGGCCTCTTGAACTGGTTCTTCCTATCTGACATTTTGTATCCTTTGACTAACATACCCCCACTCCCATCCCTGGGCTCTGGTAACCACCATTCTACTCTTGACTTCAATGAATTTAATGTTTTTTAGATTCCACATATATGTAAGGTCATATGATACTTGCTTTCTTCTTCCTGGCCTATTTCACTTAACACAGTGTCATTTAGGTTCATCCATGTTCTCAAATGACAAGATTTTCTTTTTATTCTTTTTTTAAGGCTGAACTGTAGTTAATTGTCTATATGTACTACAATTTTTTTTCATTCATCCATTGATGGACACCTAGGTTGATTCCATATCTTGGCTATTGTGAATAATGCTGCAGTGAACATGGCAGTGCAGATATCTCTTCAACATATGGATTTCATTTCCTTTGGATATATACCAATTGGTGGGATTGCCGGGTCATGCAGTAGTCCTATGTTTAATTTTTTGAGAAGCCTCCTAATATAGTTCAAATACTTGTCCCCACCCAAATCTCATGTTGAATTGTAAAGCCCAATGCTGGAGGTAAGGCCTGATGGGAGGTATTTGGGTCATGGGAGTTGATGCCTTCCTCATGGCTTGGTGCTGTTTCACCAGAGTGAGTGAGTTCCCTTGAGATCTGGTCAAGTCCCTGCTCCTGCTTTGCCTTCACCATGATTGTAAGCTTCCTGAGCCCTCCCCAGAAGCTGATGCCAGAGCTATGCTTCCTGTACAGCCTATAGAACTGTGAGCTAATTAAGCCTTTTTTCTTTATAAATTACCCAATCTCAGGAATTTATTTATAGCAATGCAAGAATAGCCTAACACATCTCCACATTGTCCATAATGGCTATACTAATTCACATTCCAACAGTGTACAAGGGTTCTCTTTTCTCCGTATCCTTGTCAACACTTACCATTTTTCTTTTTGATAATAGGCATACTTACAGATGTGAGGGGATACCTTGTTGTGGTTTTGACTTGCATTTCTCTGATTATTTTGAGTATTTTTCCCTATGCTAGTTGGACAATTGTATATCCTCTTTTGAGAAATGTCTATTCAGATTTTTTTGTCCATTTTTAATTGAGTTCTTTTATTACTGTTGTTTTAGTTATGTATTTTGGATAATCTTTATCAGATGTATGGTTTACAAGTCATTTCTTCCATTCCATAGGATGTTTCTTCACTCTGTGTATTGTTTCCTTGGCTGTGCAGAGCTTTTTATTATGTAATTTCACTTACTAATTTTTGTTTTTTGTTGCCTTTACTTTTGCATTTATATTCAAAAATTATCACTCATACCAATGTCATGGAACTTTTCCACATGTTTTCTTCTATTAGTTTTACAGTTTCAGATCTTACATATAAATCCTTAATCCATTTTGAGCTGATTTTAGTATATGGTGTGAATAAGCATTTAATTTCATTCTTCTGCTTGTGGATATCCAGTTGTCCCTACTCTGTTTATTGAAAAGACTTCTTTTTCTATTATGTGCTCTTGGCAATCAATTGACTGTAAATGCATGAATTTAGTTCTGGGCTTCATATTCTGCTTCACTGATCTGTATATCTGTTTTTATTCCAGTACCATGCTGTTTTGATTACTATTGCTTTGTAGTATATTTTGAAGTCAGGTAGTGTGATGCCTCCAGCTTTGTCCTTTTTGCTCAAGATTGCTTTGGCTATTTGGAGTCTTTTGTAGTTCCACACAAATTTTAGAATGTTTTTCTATTTCTGTGGAAAATGTCATTGAAATTTTGATAGGGTTTGCAGTGAATCCATAGATCACTTTGGGTAGTATGGATATTTTAGCTATGTTTTTTTTTTCAATTTATGAACATGGGATATCTTCCCATTTGTATCTTCAATTTTGTTAATATTTTGTAGTATTCAGTATACAGATCTTTTACATTCTTATTAAAGTTATTCCTGGGTGTTTTTTTTGTAGCTATTGTAAATAAGATTATTTTCTTAGTTTCTTTGATAATTTGTTATCAGTGTATAGAAATGCCGCTTATTGTATGTTGACTTTAAATTCTGTAAGTTTACTGAATTTACTAGTCCTAAGAGTTTTTTGGTGGACTCTTTAGGGTTTTTTTTTTTTTTAATATAAATAGGTCATCTTCAAACAGGGATAATTTAACTTGTTCCTTTCCAATTTGAATACCTTTTACTAATTTCTCTTGCCTAATTGCTCTGGCTAAAACTTCTAGTACTATGTTGAAAGAAGTGGTGAAAGTGGGCATCCTTACCTTATTCCTTATCTTAGAGGAAGAGTGTTCAACTTTTCACTGTTGAGTCTATTAGCTGTCAGTTTGTGATATGTGGCCTTTATTGTGTTGAGGTACATTCCTTCTACATATAATTTGTTGACAATTGTTATTATGAAAGGATGTCAAATTTAGTCCAATGATTTTTCTACATTTATTGAAATATTTTTTTCTTCATTCTGTTCATGTGGCTTATCACATTTATAGGTTTTCATATATTAAACTATCTTTGCATCCCTGGATAAGTCCGTCTAGATCATGGTGAATGATCCTTTTAATGTTCTACTGAATTTGGTTTGCTAGTATTTTGTTGAGGATTTTTGCATCTATATTCAAAGATTTTGTCCTGTAATATTCTTTTTTTGTAGTTTTCTTGTCTGGCTTCACTCTCAGGGTATTGCAGACCTCATAAAATGAGTTTGGAAGTATTCCCTCTTGGTCGTTTTTTGAATTAGTTTGAGAAGGATTGGTATTAGTTTTTCTTTAAGTGTTGGTTAGAATTTTGCAGTGAAGCCGTCAGGTTCTGGGCTTTTCCTTGATGGAAAACTTTTTATTACTGATCTAATCTCCTTACTCATTATTGGCCTGTTCAGGTTTTCTATTTTGTTGTGATTCACTCTTGGTATGTTGTCTGTATCTTGGAATTCATCAGTTTCTTCTAGGTTATCCAATTTGGTGGTTATCCAATAGTCTCTCATAAGCCTTTGCACTTCTGTGATATCAGTTATGTCTCCTCATTCATTTCTGATTTAATTTATTTGAGTCTTTTTTTTTCTGTCTAGCTAATGGTTTGTTGATTATGATTATCTTTTCAAAAAACCAACTCTTAGTTTTGTTGGTTTTTTTTTTTTTGTATTTTTTCTCTATTTTTGCTCTGACTTGTTTTCTTCTGCTAACTTTGGGCTTAGTTTGTTCTTGTTTTTCCAGTTTTAGAGGTATAATGTTTCTGCTGATGTAATATTTGACATCTCATCATTTAAGAACCTTTTTTAGGTTACGACATGGGGCAAATCCAATAACTCTTTATTAGGATATCAGTGATGGTACTAACATCATTAGTATCATAGGCATTAGCAACTAATGGTTGAGTTGGTTATGAAAGTCAGTAGTAGAGAATATGGCCCTGATAAAATAGTAGACAAAATCCTCCGATTTTAATAGGAAAAAATATTTGGAAGTTTCATATTTTGCTGGTAAAGGTATACATTGGAATAACCACTTTAGAAACTTTTGACAGTATTTATTAAGGATGAACATAAATATACCTTATCACCCAAATATATGTATATAGTTGGCCCTCCATAGCCATAGGTTCTATGTTCATGAATTCAACCAACTGCTAATGAAAAATATTTGGAAAAATTTGTACTGAACATGTACAGACTTCTTTTTTTTTCTAAACAATACCGTAAAATGACCATGTGGCATTTACATTTCATTAGGTATTATAAGTAATCTAGAAATGATTTAAGGTATATCAGCAGATACAGAATTGGTCCTGGAACCAATCCCCATGTATACCAACGGATGACCCTGTATGTGTGTGTGTCATACTAAATACGTTCATGTGTTCACCAAAAGACATGAATAAGAGTGTCCATAGCAGTGCTATTTGTAACAGCTCCCAACTGGAATTATTCTAAATGTCCATTAACAAGAGAGTAGATGAATAAACTCAGAATCTTTCAGTGTTCACTCTCCCAGAAGCAACAGTGCTTATGAGTTTGGTGGACATTAAAACTCAAGAGAGATGATACGGACCCCAGCATCACATTAACCTAGCTTTAGTGAAGGGCACAGGACACCAACAACATAGTACTTTAAGTAACAGCATAATGTAAGTCTACTAACTCCCAGGTACAGTTTCTGATATCTTAGTAACTCCACATTCAGATACGAGCAATCACATACTATGAGACTGAGAGTATGTAGACAGTGTCAGCACGGCAAAGCCATTGGGTCCGGGTACCCTTTCCTTTAACTTCCAGCTAGTTATGCAGCTCACTCAGGGTTACCTGACTAGTTCTATTGTGCAATTGGCACCTCATCAATGCCGGTTTCTTCTTACTTGACGAACAATTGTTACAATGAGGTCAAGGTGCTTGGATTGGTGCAGAGCCCTCTTTGGCTAGATTCTCATTTATCTCGTCATAACAATTGTTGGAATTAACGTCACAGGGAGGGTTGACCCTGCAGCTCAGTCTGCAGACACCCCTGAGGTTAGACACAGGGTCACAGGACTTAGAACCTTCCTTCCAGCCAGGCCTGGATTGGGCCTTCTGGAGTTTTCAATATTAACAAAGTGCCATTTTCAAGTGCCTACTTTGTGGCAGGAGATTTTTGTTCTCACCTTCACAACAGCCCAACGTGAAAGGTATTTTAGATCCCTTTTATAGACAACGAAATGAGGCCCTAGAAACTTCCTCATGCCTACTCAGTGGGTGAGTGAAGGAGTCAGGTTTTGAGCATGTTTTAATCGAAAATGTAACTAAATGCAACTTTTTGTTTTCAAATTTTATTTTTGACTGAGTTAGTTAACTGAAAAAGGGAAGCAAACCTGCTCTTCTGTGATTCCCTCAGTGTAAGGGAAAGTGTACGATGGTGGTTCTCAGTGTGATCCAGGAAATACCTGAGGGTTCCAGCAACTGTTTGAGGGGCCATGGGGTCAAAACCTTTAAAAATAATACTAAGACATTATTATGACTCTCCTAGTCTCATGGGTGTAGAATGGAGTTTTCTAGAGGGTAGATGACATACAATATTGCAACAGATGGAATCTAGAAGCTGATATGTGAATCTAGCTACTTTTTCTTATACTAGACATTAAGGAGATTGGCAAAAAGGTAAGCCAATGTTACCATTCTTACTATATTTAGGGAAATATAGTTTTTAAAAAATAGACTTTTAAATGAACATATAATGGGTTTATTATTTTTAAATGAATAAATACATATTTAAAATTTATTTTCTAATGCTAAATGTAAATTGATATAACCAATATAAGCCAAAGCTCTTAGGGGTCTTCAAACCTGTATTTATTTATTTTTGAGATGGCGTCTCACTCTGTCGCCCATGCTGGAGTACAGTGAGGTACAGTGGCGTGATCTCTGCTCACTGCAAGCTCTGCCTCCCGGGTTCAAGTGATTCTTCTGCCTCAGCCTCCTGAGTAGCTGGGATTACAGGCACCTGCCACCACGTCCAGCTAATTTTTGTATTTTTAGTGGAGACGGGGTTTCACCATATTGGCCAGGCTGGTCTTGAACTCCTGACCTTGTGATCTGCCTACCTTGGCCTCCCAAAGTGCTGGGATTACAGGCGTGAGCCACCGCACCTAGCCTCAAACATTTTTAAGAGTGTAAAGGTAGCCTGAGACTCAAAAGTTTGTGAATAGCTGGGGTAGAGAGCCGTTCACAGGAAAGAAATGGAAATGTTGGATAGCCCCAGGATAAGCTGACAAGCTGAGTAACTACTGTTGACTTACTTGTTCTTGCTTTAGGTTGTGACCCTGCCTCTTGGTCTGCACCATTAGGGATGCATCCAACTCAATTCTCTTTTTCTAGGAACTTCAGTCACTGTCCTTCCCTTTCTGGATGTTAGTTGCTGAGATGGCAATAGTGAATCTGAAATGATTCCATTTCTATCCAGCAAAAGTACACAGAACATATGTATTGAATGTCATTGTTTACTTGGCTAAGAGAGTGTCTCTTGCCTGGCTTTTGTAACGCGCTCTGTTTTCCAGGGCTGGGAATTGTATTTTCTCTGGAGACTTGACTCCGATAGTTTAGCTGTTTATCTGCTGTGGTTCAGCACATTTCAGAAGTGCCAAGGCAGCTTTTTTTCATCTGTCCACAAAATTTCTTATCCTGAACAAGGAGCCTCAGGAAAAAAGAAACACAGCTGACTACACAGATGCTCCAGATGATCTCAGTTTGGAGCATGTGCCTGCTGTCCACTTCAGAGCCACAGTCTCTGAGGAGGGGATGGCTCTGTTGAGATGTATGCACGGTTTGAGGAAGACCAGGATTTTAGAAAAGAAAGCCATCCCCAATTTTTCCTGCTACTTTGCCACTGTTCTTATTCACTATATTTAATATGTCTCATGACTAAGATGCACATATGTTTTCAGAATTTTTTATTTTTTATTTTTGAGATGGAGTCTCACTCTGTGGTCCAGGCTGGGGTGCAGTGGCATAATCTCGGCTCACTGCAACCTCCACCTCGAGGATTCAAGGGATTCTCCTGCCTCAGCCTCCCAGGTAGCTGGGATTTTATAGGTGCCCGCCACCATGTCCGGTTAATTTTTTTTTCTTTTTTTTTTTTTTGTATTTTTAGTAGAGATGGGGTTTCACAATGTTGGCTGGGCTGGTCTCAAACTCCTGACCTCAAGTGATCTGCCTGCCTCGGCCTCCCAGAGTATTAGGATTACAGGCATCAGCCACTGCGCCAGGCCTTGTTTTAAGAACTTTTAAATTACAATTGAATACTAAAACTAAAATTGTTCTGTGGTCCTGGAACTCGGAGTCATACTGAAAAGGGAAAGAATGAATTGAAATGGAGATCAAGTTCACCCTGCATATTTGTGGACAGATTTACCTTTATCCAACCTGATTCCACATGAAGTTTTATTTAGCTATCATATTTTCCTTTTCTCAGTGATATGACTTAACGCCATTCCAATTGTACGGGGTATAGAGTCTAGAAACCTTGATTTAAGTCTCACATTCATCATGTGGTAACAGCGTGACACAGGGCAAGTCACATTTGCCTTTTGACTTTTTTTTAACTTATTTCCTCAGTGAACTTGGAATAATATAGACTTCAAAAGGTGATTGTCAACTGCATTAAATATATTTGAAATACTCTCAACTATAAAGCATTCATGAGTCACAAAATTTTTTAAATAGTCATCTTACTGTCCTGTGTCAGTTTTGATTTAGTCATTGCTCTTCCTGTAACTCTACCTGGTAAATTTCATTTTGAGTCTAAGGAGAAAGGCTCTCAACTCTTCTAGATCTGCCTGCTCATGGAGGGAAAATTAGTGAGTATAATCATTCTTCCCTGAAACTCAGGTGGACTCGGACATTGTAAAATTAAATTTATAATTTTCAGAAATTCCCTTAAGTTGAGCAGTAAAAAAAGCTCACTTTCTAGTGTTTCACCACTTACTGTAGTGTTATACAAAAGGGAGAAGAGAGAAGGTTTCCTTTTTTTTTTTTTTTTTTTTTTTTTTGAGATGGAGTCTCACTCTGTCACCCAGGCTGGAGTGCAGTGGCACAATCTTGGCTCAGTGCAGCCTCTGCCTCCCAGGTTCAAGGAATACTCCTGCCTCAGCCTCCTGAGTAACTGGGATTACAGGCACGTGCTACCATGCCTGGCTAATTTTTTTTTTTTTTTTTTTAAGTAGGGATGGGGTTTCACCATCTTGGCCAGGCTGGTCTTGAACTCCTGACCTCAAGTGATCCACCTGCTTCGGCCTCCCAAAGTGCTGGGATTACAGGCGTGAGCTGCTGTGCCCAGCTGGAGATAAGGTTCTTATTTTGAGGGGTGGGATATATCAGGTTTTGTCTTTCCCATGTGGCTGCTGCTTTTCCACACAGCTCTGCACACTGTGACAAGATGGCTTCTGTGTCTCAATTATGGCTTTTGTCATTTTGTTCACCTAGAAACACTGGCATGCATTTTCATGTGGATGTTTCTCCTTCTCATCTAGTAATTAAAAATAAGAAAGATATTGCTAGAAATGGCCTGGTAACACTCCCTCCCCACTACCATGTTTTTGATGGATTCTTGTCCCATGATCTCAGGACAGGTAATAGCATTCTTCACTGAGATTTTACTAGGCTGTATTACAATGTTTGCATAATAACTACCTGTTTGGATCTAAGAATTCCTTTTGAGATGTTTTCTTGAAACAAACTCAACAGAAAAGCTCATGTGGTGGGAGGGAGAGCTGCCCCTGGTTATTAGCTGTCATAACCCACACCAGGGTCTGTATGACGGCTCAGGTGCTTTAACAAGTGAGAGCAGAGGTGCATGTGAGACAGCTCGTGGAGATGTGAGGCAAGCCTGCCTGTGCACTGTTTTGTGGTTGCTGATTCTGATGATGCCTGACTTATAGAAATGACATATTTGTGAATGCCAGCATTTAATCTATGTAAGTGATTTTGAAAGAAAACTATTTTTCACAACTTAAAGATGCTATGGTCTTTGTGTCCCCTCCAAATTTCTATGTTGAAATCCTAACTCCCAAGGTGGGAGGTGATTATTAGGTGATGGGGGTGATGCCCTCATGAATGGGATTACTGCTTTTATAAAATAGGTCTGAGAGGCCGCTTGACGCTTCCACCATGTGAGCATGCGGCAAGAAGGTGCCATCTAGGAACCAGAAAGTGGGTCCTCACCAGACACCAAATCTGCCAGCACCTTCATCCTGGACATTTTAGCCTCCACAACTGTAAGAAATGAATTTGTGGGTACATTACCAGTCTAAGGTATTTTGCTATGGCAGCCTAAACAGACTAAGGCAAGAAAAGAGAAATAGATTGTTGCCTTTACATTTCATTTTAATAACTGGTCTATAGGGCTCAGGAAGAACTGACCTCAGGCAGATGTAGTACAGTTGTTACCTGAGGCTCTTCCCCTGGACCCCTCCCTCACCCCTTCTCCAAAAAGAACGAAAAAAAAAACAAAGAAAAATGTCTCCAGACAGTCTTTGAATATGTAATAATAGAAAACAGTAAAGCAGTTTTACTGAAACAGTTGTTCCCTGTTAAAATACAGTGGAAAGATCTTGTGTTTTGTTGGAGTCAGATTTCCCTGGATTAGATCCCCAGCGCTATCACGGGATCTTGAGCAGTCTCTGAACCCACTCTCAGGCTCAGTTTCTCCAACTTTAGGAAGAGCTGAAAAGAACCTCCATTGCAATACCTTCCTATGCTGTTTTAAACATTAAAAGAGATTCTATGAAAAGAGTATCTAGCTCGGCGTACCTAGAGCATATTTGACTCTCCACAATGAACAGTTATTACCAGTGCTGAATGGAGGGGCTTGGTTCAGATACTATGATTTTGTGTATCAGTATACCAGACTTTGCCAAGGAGAGTGCTCCTCTAAAGCCATAAAAATGAAAGTTTTCTTAGAATGAAAGCACTTCAAAGACAAATGGTTCTTTTTAAGGAAAGGCTTACAAGATGGGCTACTGTGAAGACATTGTCTCCTGTAAAATTTGATTTCATCTAGCCTGAGTTGGATTATCAGAGGAAGTCCCAGGCTGGGCAACTTCAAGCCACTAGGATGATCTTCATATGAAAAAAAAAAAGTGATGAGGAAGTAGAAGGAATTAGGAGAGGAGGAGGATCAGAGATGCTCATTTTTCTTACTGATGTGACATCTTTGTAAATCAACTCAGTAGTTCTTTTTCCTCCTAGATTTAAAATGTCAATATATTCTGGTAGCAAAAGGGAGATTAAATCAATGTTGTCAGAGGTATAAGTCTAAAAGGTACGTCTTCACTAGTAAAACTAGAAAAGGAAAAAAATGGATATTTGAACTATCTCGATAGCTTCTGTAATTTTTAAGATTATAGTTCAACATTCAAGCAAGGACTGTTTGCACCTACTTAAAATTTTCTAATAGTTAAATCTTTCCTACTGAAAATTCCAACTTTTCATTGAAGAAAAGCTATTGGTAAATGAATATTATACATATATTTCTATGTATACTCCTGAATGTCTCTCTTCTCTCCCTCCCTCTGAGTCTGTGTGTGTGTCTGTGTGTCTGTGTGTCTGTGTCTGTGTGTGTCTGTGTGTGTGTCTGTGTGTGTGTGTGTGTGTGTGTGTGTGTGTATTATATATGATAACATATAGATTATCCTAGATCTGAGTTACTGCATGGAGAACTGTTGCCCTGGAGAGTCACCTGGCACAATGACCTCATGTGCATGAGAAATAAATCTTTGCTGTATTTAAGCTTCTGAGATTTTGAGACTGTTGGTTGCTGTAGCATAATTTAATAAGATTAACATGCATCTATTTTTGCTAAAGTCAAATTGAAAAGAAATACTTCATTATTGATGCAAATTTACTAGTGAATTACATATTTATAAATTGAACCATATAGTGACGACTCAAGGAATATTATAAAATATCCCCATTTAACAGCTCTGGAAAATAAATGCTAGGGTATCACATGTGCAGTTCTTCCTGCAGGACAGTTCTGTGGGTATCCCTGGACTGACTCAGTTCTCCCCAATTCCTCCTGTAGTTCTTAAGAGAATCTGTAGAATGTGCTTGGATGCAACATCCTGAGATAAGCAGGAGCTGGCTGGAACAGCCTGGGCTTCATTCTGCCGCCCGCTGAAACAGGATGTTCTTCAATGCTTTTGCCCAGTGTGCTTCATCTCCCCTGAGTATAAAACTCAGGGTGGGCTGCTTTCCATGGTCCCTCAGCTGCAGTATAAGTGAGGCACAGTATAAGTAGGAAGCTTTCTTCAGCCTTGGGGGACCCGCTTTCCCTGAATCCTAGACTTCTGCTGTCCCTTGCTGCTCCTGTATAAGTAATAAACCTAGTTTATATAACGTGTGTGTGTGTGTCTGTGTGTGTGTGTGTGTGTGTGTGTGTGTGTGTGTGTGTGTGTGTGTGTATGTGTGAATGTTCTGTCTTACCAGACTCGGACAAGTCATAAAAGTGCAGCCCAAGATGCAGTGGGCTGAAGTGATCATCAGTGCACAATAAACCTACTTCAGACCTTCTAGAGGCAAAATTCTGTCCTCTGCCCTTTTCTATGAGATTTCTCAAATGTAAAAGGAAAATATAAGTTTAAAATTTTGAGAAGCTTCAGCCATTCTTCCAGGTTATTGGCAAAGTATTTGAAGTGAATAACATAATGATAATTGTTCATAGATTGTGCCTGACCTTAACTTTGAATAAGAAAATCAAAGAAGCATTGACTCTCAGGGCAGGAAGAGGCTTTACAGGTGTCTACTTAATCCGTGTTTTTTTTTTCCTCTATGAAGGGTCATCCACCCTTGGATGCCATCACTGGAGATGGCACCATTTTTAAGACAGTTCTGCTTTGAAGGGAGGCATACATTAAACACATTTTTCTCTTGGATTGTCTGACTTCATTAAATTATCTGGTAGATCTGGCTCCATATCTCTGTAACTTATGCCATTCTTTCAGGTTTCTACTTTTATGCTCCTTTGACACTGGACAGAATATCTGATCATGGTAGCTTGGCTTCATGTGGCTGCAGATGCTTTGGTCAAGGTGTTCTGCCTTTCTGGAATACTTAAACGTCCCTTGAATACTGCAGTTACACTCATTCATGCTTTTGATGTGCTCATTTCCATGTTAGGAAGTAGATAGACCCTTGAAGTCTGGATGATACAAAACCACACAGAAGGAAGAATAAAAGATAGGGGTATTGGGGAGAACTTATATAAAGGGCCCTTCTGCTTTAAATGCTTGGCTGGATTCAGTGGTAATTGTAGCAGTATAGCTAGGATGAGGCTGAAATGTCTTTACGGCATTGCAGAGAGTGACACAGAATCTTTGGAGTACCAATTGGGAACAGCAAGCAAAGGGGGAGTGATCTATGGGTAGGTTGAGGGTATAGGATTAAAATTTTTGTACTCCATGAAAAGTGTACTAGTTGCATTAAATAGTTATGAGATTTTTCTGTGAATAAAAAACATTTTTCTGTAACAAAATATGAATATCTTAAGTGATACTACTTATATTTACTGGTTATTATTAATCAGCTTGTGAAATATGGTGTCATTAGTCTTCACATCCAGAATGACTTGGGGTGCTTCATTCACTATTGGGTTTCTATTATTGTTAGATGGCTTTCTTGTAAAATTAAGTGCCGCCTTGAATCTGAATAAAAATAAATCTTAAATTCCTAAATTCATATCAATTCTCTTAGGTAAATCACTAATGCATACATTTGAGAGAATCTTTATTCCTGTGCTTAATAATTGAAGTTGGAAAAACTAGTTCTTTTAATGATTTTCTTTTGCTAAATCTGAGATTGCTTATTAGTGACTCAAATATGACTGCTTGCTTTATTCTTTTCTTATTGAGCTATCAAAGAGTTTTGCCACAGGCTTCTCTATTTCCCTTGCTACTCTTTTTTTTTTTCCTCCTGAATTATGGTGTAATTCAACTGGGTCCAACGCTTTGTCAAATTGAATAGTTTTAATTGCCTTATTTGCAATGGGAAAATCTCTTAATATTTCGCTTTGCCCCTCAAGAAATTATTTCCAGCCATGTGACATTTCTCTCTCCTTCATTTATGAATAACAAGATGAGGCCACATGCTTAGACCTCCAGTTACAGATCTTATCATTTTTCCATTTCTCTCTTCCCTGTCCTTCATTCTCATTTCCTTCCTCTTTTTCTCTTCATCCTTCTTTAACTGTAATTGTTCAATGACTCATATTTAAATTGGATTCTGTCTCACTGTATTTTTTAAAGGGGATGGAGATTTAACCTGGCAAATCCATATTATGTTTTCTCTTCTGCTAGATCACCTTTATGATATTTCTGTAATCAGTGTCTTTTTCACTGAGAAAAGGAGTGGCCAAGTCACTGTCCAGTAATTTGTTTTGGTGACCTCAGAAGCCTTTGTTAAACCAACTCCATTTCACTCTTTTCTGCTCACTTGCTAAAGTCTGATTGGTTTCAAATAAAATTTGCCTTTTATAATATGCTTTAAAGTCCTTATGCCCATCTTTTCCTTTCAAATAAATCATTAATTTTTCCTAGCAAAAGCCTTGCTTATGTTGAACATAACTGAATGGAAAAAATTTTCATTATTATAGCTATGCCAAAAACATTCCCTTTTATGCTTAAAATTGTACATTTGTTAAAAAGGATCTCTTTAAAATTAAAAAAATGGGCTTATACATATTCAAACCCTACATTATTAACACTGTCTATTAATAGCACTGAAATTTCAGTGTCATAAAAGTGTATCTGCCCTTTTTCTTCTTGGCTTGATCAAAGCTTTTACTTTTTTCTTGTTTTAAAATTCTATAAAAGTCTTCATTTTAATATGCCTTCCTTTAAACATGTTCTTTTTCTAAGTACCCACTGATCCTCCTTCAACTGTAATCTTTCCTGTTTGGACCTAATTGAGATTTCAGTGATAAATACTTGTCACACAGGTAACATTCTGCCTATTTAAGTGTTTCTCTTAGACATTTTGATGTAGCTATTTCAAACTTTTATTTAGTATTTTAAACAGAACAGAATGAAACCATGCAGTGTTCATTAGTTTCCTAAGTCTGCTGTAACAAATTACCACAAATATGATGGCTTAAAAAATAGAAGTTTATTTTTTCACAGTTCTGGAGGTCAAAAGTTCAGACTCAAGGTGTTGGCAGGGCCATGCTCCCTCCAAAATATCCAGAGGAGAATCCTTCCAGCTTCTGATGGTTCTTAGTGTTCCTTGTCTTGTCATAGAATAACTGTACTCTCTGCCTCTGTCTTCATAGGACCTTTTCTCTTTTATCTCTGCTTCAAATCTCTCTGCCTTTCTCTTAAAGGGACAACTATCATTGGATTCGGGGTCCACCCAAAATCAAGGATGATCCCATTTTGAGATCCTTAAGTTAACGACATTTACAAAGAATTTTTTTTTTTTCCCCCAAATAAGGTCACATACACAGGCTCTAGGGATGAGGATGTGGACGTATCTTTTTGAGGGATACAATCCAACGCACTATAACATGACAACACATTATCCCTCTTACTTTCAACTCTTACCATTTGATTTTTCAGTTGATTAGTTGAAAGTCTTAAAGTTTAGAATATTAGCATCCTGTAGAACAGCAGATTATATGTATGATTATATATGAGGATAACATACATATACACACATACATATGGAAGTGACATAAGTTATATATGATTTCTTACAATTTCTAATAGTGTTTTACACATACATATTGTTCAACTATTGGTGAGAATGGGCAGATGGCACTCTTATGAAGTTGAATAATTCTTGTTTTATATATCTCAAAAGGTCTAATTCCAATCGAATATAAATTATTATAAATTACTTTCAGATTTAGTATCTATTTTCTCTCAATGTTGACAGCAATTTTAAAAAGTAGAATATTTTCAATTAATTTTTTTTTTTGAAATGGAGTCTCCCTCTGTCACCCAGGCTGGAATGCAGTGGCACGATCTCAGCTCACTGCAACCTCCGCCTCTCGAGTTCAAGTGATTCTCCTGCCTCAGCCTTCTGAGTAGCTGGGATCACAGGTGCATGCCGCCACGCCCGGCTAATTTTTGTATTTTTAGTAGATACGTAGTTTTGCCATGTTGGCCAGGCTGGTCTCGAACTCCTGACCCCAGCTGATCTTTCTGCCGCAGCCTCCCAAAGTGCTGGGATTACAGACATAAGCTACTGTGCCCAGCCATTATTCTTATTTTAAAGAGGAGGAAACCGAAATTCTAAGAAGTTCCTTAAGATCTTAGGGCTATTAGTAATGAAAGCAGAGCATAAACTCAGGTATTTGATGCTGAGTTCTGTGCTCATTCAACTATACGATATTACTTTCTTATTCACATCAAATAAAATATACAAATCATCTATAAAATAGCAATATATAGGTTTATCCACTTTGGAGTCAATCAAGTACTATGTGATGACTGAAATTGCATCTATATTATTAGTTTATGTTTATTGAACAAAATTATTTAATATTTGTTTCACCCAATTTAAAAAGATTATGGTCAATCTTACACTTTCGCTTCAGAGTTGATTTTTTTCCCCCCAAAATAGCCTCATTATTATTTATTTTAAGAGTTAGGGTCTTGCTATATTGCCCAGGCTGGAGTGCCTTGGTTATTCATAGGCATGATCATAGCACAATAGAGCCTCAAACTCCTGGGTTCAATCATTTCTCCTACCTTAGCTTCCCAAGTTGCTGGGACTACAGGCCCACAACACCATACCTGTCTGTACATCAAAGTTTTAATTGATCTAGATCAGTTAAATCTAGATCAAGCATTGTAAACCAGAAAGTAAATGTTTTAGAGTTTGCAGTACATACAATCTGATTGCAACTATTCACCTCTACCATTGTGGTGCAAGAGGCAAACAAAAAAGAATGAGTGTGGCTGAGTTGCAATAAAATTTTATTTATAATATCAGATTTTGGGCCAGATAGGACTCATGGGCCATAGTCTGTTTTCTCCTGCCCTAAATCAGTAGTCACTAAGCGGGTATATGGACCCTGAAAGTAAAACGGTCTATTGGCATACGAGAAGAAAACATAACTTCTATAGGTATTTGTTTTTATAAAAAATAAGGACATAAAGTTTTGTTAATGTGTGTAATTTATAAACACACTAAAAATGAGAGTTTGCTCCCAGTATTTTACTGACCAGATTTGGAGATGATGCCCTATAGAAGTAACTGAGAAATATAATGGCTCACAAGTTTATCCTAGCAAAAACTAACCTAAATAATCTTTTACAGGTAAATTTTATTCTATGGAACATTTATTGTTAATAATCTTTTTTTATAACTAATTGATGACCCAGTTAAATTTATCATAATATGGATATTCTATGTTGAAACTTTCAAGGTATATTTTGTCACAAAAATGTCACAGAATATGTAGATGAAATTATTTGTCATAATTATTTAATTACTTTCTCTATTGCCTTATATTCCTGGCATAAAATATTTTCTGAAATAATTTTTACACCCTTCAACGCTTCCAGCAGACATTTGTTTTTGGTACTTAGAGGGAGGTAGGAGAATCTATTAAAACATTAATCTGTTCTCATTTTTTTCTATAATTTCCTTTCTCTTTCCTGGATCTTATACAAGAGCCATGGAGTTTAGAGAATGGGGAGGATTAAAGGAGTGAAAATTGACGGTTGCATTTCCTAGAGCTGAAAAAAAATGGTGCTTAGAATTAGAATTTTCTTGCTTGAATGAAATACAAGATGTGATCTAGGTCAATAAAGGGACATATATGGAGATGTTTATTATATCTTATAGTGGTAGAGAACTGGGATAATCTGAGTTGTCCTTATTGGAACTCTTCTTGTCTTTTTGTTTTTAGTTTTTTGAGACAGGGTCTTGTTCTGTTACTCAGGCTGGAATGCAGTAGCAGTCATGGTTCACTACAACCTTGATCTCCCAGGCTCAAGTGATCCCCACAACTTCAGTCTACCTAGTAGCTGGGAATACAGGCATGTGCCACCACACCTGGCTAATTGTTTTTGTTTCCGTGGAGAGCTCACTATATGGTCCAGGCAAGTTTTGAACTCCTGGGCTCAGGCTATCCTCTTGGCCTCCCAAAGTGCTGGGATTACAGGCATGAGCCACTGCGCCCAGCCTCTTCTTATTTTCCATGAAATCAATGGCAATGTTTATTAGTTTTCTTGCCTTTGCAGGAATTTGTAGTGTTTTGGAATTGGGGCTAGTAATCATGTAGCATGTGATTAATCCAGTATTTTGGCCTAAAATCTCTCAAAGCTATCTTTCTAATATGAAATAAGATTATATAACTTTAAATCCTTTCAGTGGATCCTTCGTGCTTGTAGGCTAAATTTCAGACCACTTCCAAAGCAGGAGAGGCTAGATACCTCGTGTCAGCCTCTGATCACCTTCCCCTCCTTCCAGCCATATTTAACTGCTTACATCTCTGAAAGCTGCTGTGGTCTTTCAAACCCATAACAAATGATGTTATGTTGCTTTCTAAGTATCAAGGTGGCTTTGGGTACTCCCTTTCCCTAATTTACAAGCCAATATAAATACCACTTTCATTGATAGACCCACGTGCTTCTAGTAATAAAGCTAATCTACCATTGTAAAAATGGTATAAGTAACTTATTAAAAGAAAGGCAGAGAATAGATAAAGCAACGGATAACTGAATAGTTGAAAAAGCTTTAAGCTGAAGCTAATTGGAGAAACCAACATAATTATTATAATGAATTGTATTCAGATATGCAGTATATTTGGAAAGTTTCTTAAAATTATATGTACCGGTTGACCTAGTTATTTATTACTATGTAGCAAACTGCTCCAAGTTTTAGCAGCCTTTGTAACATGGCAGTCTGAGGGTAGTATAACTTCTAGGTGGCTCCGAGTTTCCAGACACCCTGTTCCTAGAATCCAAGGCAGAAACTGCAGGGATTTTTATGAATTAACTCCAAAAGTCATGGAGGATCATTCTCCCATATTTCACTGATCATATAAACCCAGTCCCAATTCAGTATGGGAAGGACTCGCAAAGCACAAATTGCCAGAAGTACTGAATTTTGGGAGAACTCATTAATTCTACCCCGTTATTAGAAAAGATATGAAATATGTGAAGAATCTATTAAGCAAATGGCAAGGATAAGACTATCTTAAAGCATCTTACATTATTTTTTGATCTGTTTCCCTTCTACTGACCCCTAATCACAGCCAACTTCTAAATTTCTAAAAAAATTCGGCCAGCTGCTATGATTTGAGAGGTCACAAGACAGAATAGTGACGTGACCCAAATATCAAATCTATAACCTACCTCTAAAATTGTTTTTCTTCCTTTGTACTGTAGATTTTTTTAATGAAGTGAAAATTTTCTTTTAGGTCTTCATACTTCATTAGCTCCTTTTCAGTCCAGTAATACAGTAACTCATAACTTGATCTTTGTATGCAATATAAGAAATTCTGGGAAGTGTAAAATTTTTTGTTTTTATTGCAGCAACCCAGAGATTTTTGGCCCCAATATGCATAAATTTGAGGTATAGATGAATGGGAGTTGTGAATTGGGTCTAGAAAGGTTATAGTGATTATAGAGCGTTTATGAGAAGACAAAAAGCAGAAGCATGTATAGGAAAATCTTGGGGATAATAAAGGCAGAAGAGCAAAATGGTCTTGTGCCTTAGAAGACAATATCAATTTTAGATGGTAAGCAGATGAGGCATGAAACGTGATGGAAGTTAATGGGAGCTTTCTGTTTGTCCTTTTTTTAAATCACCATATGTATCACAGTTACCTATATTTTGGGCACCTTGGCATTTTGAGATACCATCTTCTATGTGAGCACTTTCCTAGCCACATAAAATTTCTTTGCTAAATGGAAATCTGATGAAAACAAAATTTCTCCACTTTGTTACACAAGTTTCTTTTCAGACTAAGGAAAGAGGAAATTCTGAAAACCTTTTCATTAGCAACAAAGGAAAATGAACGTTAATAAGACTGTACTCATTTTTAATTTAATATAGTTGGTATCTTAACATTTTTGTGAGCTTTTGTTTTTAATCTTAATAAAGTAGTAATGTTTATAAAATTTTTCTTTATTGGTCCATGGTCATAAAACCACAACTTTTTACAATGCTATAAATTTCTTAACTTCGACTTGTGCTATAGTGATGATTTTCACTTGGCCTAATCCCCTGAGGTTCCTGAGGACCAACTCTAATGTTGGGAGCAAGAGATGAAAAAAAAAAGGTGGGGGTGCACAGAATAAGTAACTGAATGGGAAAGGATAAATTAAAAGACAAAAATCAGAGATGAAGCAGCAATGCAAAGGAGGAGAGAGGGGATGTACAAGTTAGTCTTCATAATTTCTACTCGTATGTAATTTTCTTACATACTATTTGCTATTTTTTCTATAAAAGGTCAGAATGAGAGGTGAATCTTATTTAAATTAGAAGGTGGCAGGTAAAATAAGACATATCTTGAAATATCTAACTTTTAAAAAATTATAGGTCATTCTTTTCTTACCAAAGATCACAATCCATTGAGGCCAAGGCATCCATTGACACTGCGAAGGACTGAATCCAGCTGAGAACAAAGATGACATTGATCTTTTTTTCACCTTTCAAACTAAGTGCTTGAAATATATTCGAAATACAATAGTTTGAAAGCCAAGGCATCAATGTATTTATCTTATAAGATCCAGGCTTTGTAGAGAAAAGAATAGATGTTTGGATTCCAAGAAGTTGAAGCTAGATCAGAGCTAAGATTTTATAAAAGTTAAGCCAAGAAAAGGGAAGTTGGGAGAAAGAGCAGTTGTCTTCCAAGAAGAGAGGAAAGAGAAGCCCCCCTCTTTTTTTTTTTTGAGACAGTCTTAACTCTGTTGCCAGGCAGGGGTGCATTGGCACCATCTTGGCTCACTGCAACCTCTGCCTCCGAGATTCAGGTGATTCTCCTGCCTCAGTCTCCCAAGTAGCTGGGATTACAGCCATGTGTCCATTATGTTTGGCTAATTTTTGTATTTTTAGTAGAGACAGGAATTCACCATGTTGTGCAGGCTGATGTTGAACTGCTGACCTCAAGTGATCTGCCTGTCTCAGCCTCCTAAAGTGCTGGGATTACAGGTGTGAGTCACTACATCCGGCTGAGAGAAGCCCATTTTAAGCCAGGAAAGAAGCTGGAGAAAGAGAAAGGAGAACAAGAATTCTGAGATCTATCCTTGTGGATAAAACCTCAGGGTTGGAGAGCGAAACACCAAAGAAGTAAAAGGGCAGAAGGTCCATATACTTATACCTGCAATTCTTGGAGGAATCAGCTTCCAATGTTGACTTGGAGTATGGAGGCAGACCAAAGGTCTGAACAAATACAGCTGTTTTCCTGCAACCTAAGCTTAGAGGGAGAATACTCAGAATTTCTTGTAGCATAAATGCAAACACTGATCAGACTGGGAGACCACAAGAGTCCTGGTTTCAGGACAAGAAGTGGACATCAAATCTTTGGTAGTAAGGCCCTCAAGTTGCTGTCAAACACTTTATTGGGACCATTTATTTCAGCAGTACACTGAACAGAATCCATTGAGATCTCAGAGGACAGACTTTGGACTAGAAATGACTTCCTTGCATCCATGGCATGAAATCAGTTTTTCCCTTTATTCCATATCAATCCAAGTAGAGAGGAAGGAGAAGATGCTTGAGACTTGAAGAAAGCCCTTGTTAAGATGATTACATTTTGAGTTGACTGAGTTTAACTCCTTAACATACTGAATAATTTCCCAAAAGATTACTTTCAACTGAACATTACTTAGTTACCTTGAATTGGCAAGATTAAGTATTTTCTGCTACTTAGAGGAAAAAGAGGCTTGTGAGCAAGTTGAGTTCAATACAGACTAACATTTCTGTACAACTGAGTTGTAAAAACACATGTTAGTGCAGCTACATACACAGATCTTTCTTTTTCATTACGTTTTTAACTTTCCATTGTTGTATTTTGACTCTCCCTAACTCTCCCTATGAAGCTATGGCTAACATAATTCTAATATTTACAGTGAACTGAGAAAGTTGTTGATATGGTTTGCCTGTGTCCCCACCCAAATCCCATCTTGAGTTGTAGCTCCCATAATCCCCATATGTTGTGAGAGGGACCCACTGGGAGGTCACTGAATCATGGAATGGGTTTTTGCCATTCTGTTCTCATAATAGTAAGTGTCATGAGATCTGATGGTTTTATAAAAGGCAATTCCACTGCACACACACTCTTGCCTGCTGCCATTAAGATGTGCCTTTGTTCCTCCTCTGGCTTCCACCATGATTGTGAGGCCTCCCTTGGCCATGTGGAACTGTGAGTCCATTAAACCTCTTTTTCTTTATAAACTACCCAGTCCTAGGTATTTCTTCATGGTAGTATGAAAATGGACTAATACAGTTGTTGGAATGGACAAGATCTTAAAGAAAAATACCACTAACTTCCCTGACATTTATAAACATATAGAGTAAGCATATGTCAAAAGCTTATTTAACTTATGAGGAAACCAGTATGGTACTAAATCTGGTTAAAAAGTTAATTAGAAAATTGGTTAGTAAGTCCCTCAGGAAAGTTATATTGAGATAAGTTTCCTAATGTAGAGTCCTACAGGGTAATAATACCATAATCTTTGGGGTTATCTTTTCTACTGTACAAAAATAATTTGCTTTTAAACTGGGTAAAAATCTATCACTTAACATGAACATGGAACTTTATAGAATCTTGGCCCTAATAAATAATAAATAGCAAGTCAAACACTAGTATGTTCCCTGATATAGTTGCAGAATGCATGAATGGATCTATCAGTTCATGCTCCAATGTGGCAGTGAAAGAACATGGAGTCCTCATTTTGTCTTATTTTCAAGGTTTGCACAATTTTTAAAACCCTTGTTTTATTATGATCTTCAAACCTAGGGCCTTATTTGTCTCTTTGCTGGACTCTACTCTGTCATTACTGGACTTAACTCATTGTGCTGGAGCAAAAATTAAAAAAAAATGGTAGAAAACCTATTTAGAAGCAATGAAAGATAAGAAGTCAAAGGAAAAAGGTTGAAGAAACCAAGTCAAACTGAAAACTACCATTTGGTATTGCAAGTAGCCAATTTTAGTGCTGAGGCTTTTTAAAACAGTAGTCCTTCCTAATGGATACTGCATTTAAAAGATATTGTTGAATTCTGTGCTGCTTTGTTTTCTATGAGTTATAGTTACAGTTTTATACTTAGAAGCATTAATTTTTTTTTTTTGAAATGGAGAAGTCTTGCTCTGTCGCCCAGGCTGGAGTGCAGTGGCGCGATCTCGGCTCACTGCAAGCTCCGCCTCCCAGGTTCACGCCATTCTCCTGCCTCAGCCTCCCGAGTAGCTGGGACTACAGGAGTCTGCCACCACGCCCGGCTAATTTTTTTTTGTATTTTTAGTAGAGAGGGGGTTTCACCGTGTTAGCCAGGATGGTCTCGATCTCCTGACCACGTGATCCGCCAGCCTTGGCCTCCCAAAGTGCTGAGATTACAGGCGTGAGCCACCGCACCTGGCCAGAAGCATTAATTTAATTTCGGATCCTGAGGAAAGAAAGCACCTTAATTGTTAAAGTTCATTAACCTGGTCCTATTAATGCTGCTGCTAACTTATTGAGTCATGTATCTCAGTAGTTTTCAAACTTTGCACATGAGAGTCATGGTGAAGCTTCTAAAAATTTGACCCCATACGAATTAATTTAAAACCTGTTTTCAGGCAGGATCTAAGCATTGGTTTTTGTTTTTTGTTTTTAAAACTACTCAGATAATTGTAGTGGTTTTCCAGATTTGAGAACCACTGGCACATCTTAAATTTTCTTGTGCCCATGCTTCTTTTCCCTACAGCTATTAGAGAAAAAGAGCTGGGGGGAGGGCGGGGACGGGAGAGAGAGAGGGAGAGAGACAGAGACAGAGGTTGGCAGTGTTAGAAAAAACACCTTTCTTTTAATAGTGTTTCTTTATCCTCTCTTCCATTTTTTTTCCCCCATATTACTAGCTCTTCGTGGCAACCAGGGTATTTTAGAGCAAATTTCCAGAGCAGTGCACAGGAAAGAAACCTCTGCCTTTACTAGGAAACTAGGCCTCCCATAAGACATCAATCTGTTCAGCATTAGAGCAAAAATTAAGGATGGTGCTAGCCATTTCCTAAAAATCTTTGTCATCATTGTGTTATATATGAAATGACATATGCACAGCTTTTCTGAGTTTACCCATATATTGCTTTCCCAGTGAAACTGTACACTGGAACATAGTTTTGAGACATCATTACAGGATAATCTTAAATCTGTCCTTTTAAAAGAAATTCTAAATTATACTTTAATATTAGTAATAGACCACCTGTAACTTACAAATGATTTGAGCCATAACAGTATCTTTGAGAAAGTTAAGTTACAGAAACACAGATGGAACACAAACTTTTGGGAGTTCAGCGCTCTCTGTAAGACTTACTGGAATACTGTTCACTGAAGTTTGTTCTGGCCTTCAAGAAAACCTCGTCTCCCACCTTGCTGTAACCCCACATCTACATAGAAAAACCTCTTAAAACAAACCCCAATTTTTATTTGTAAGAGTTGAACAACCATTTACAACTCAAAAGATACCTCATTTGTTGAACAGTTATATTAATTTAATATATCAGTATAATGGAATTTTGTATTACCATTAAAACAGTACTTATAAAAGCAATGCAAAAATGAACGGATTAATATCTGATAATGAGGTGGAAGCACAAATAAAAATTGCCCGTACAACTATTTAATGTCTGTATGCCTCTGAATAGTAATTAGGAGAAAACATATGGAAGCGAAAATTATTTCAAATTTTAAAATCTTGAAACAGAAAGCAATATTTATGATGTATCTACCACCCCCACCCCATGCATATGTTCTGGAAATGTCTTGTTTCCAGGGTCCTAGATTTTTGGCTTACTGTCAATTTTTAGGACTGGCTTCTTTTAGAAATAATTATTTTTTTTCTTCCTGGGTATTAAGATCTGAAAATTTATCATGTTTGTCTTTTTGTTTCTTTATATCCAATTTATAATTCTAGAAATAGTTAGAAAACCAGGTATCTTTGCCTTTGCTTTGAAGTATTTTGTAGCATTATATGGTTTCCATGTCATACTTCCAATTATCCTTTTAGTGAAATGATCCATTTACTATGTCATGCTTCTAAGAGAAATTGGCGAAAATTTCCACGTTTTCTTTGTACTCCTTTTGTTGGATAATGCCCATTAAAGTAGTAGGTCTCCAGACAGCCAGTTAATTGCAGGAAGGGTATAGCACTCTCATGGCAGTAAAGGTATCAACAGCAAAAAGTCAGCAAAGAGATTAAAAAAGAAAAAAACCTGATTGCTATTTACCTCAGTAACTAATGATATTGATGAGGATAGTCCTTTTGTTTTGGATATACTATTAAACTTCTCTTAGAAGTTCATTGGAATGGGTTGACCATTTCATTGCATCTTCAGTCTTGGCTTTTAGCTTTGGCCAAGTCTGCAATTTGTCTACATTTTGCGTTTGTGATCAACTTGGCACCATCAGCTTCTTTTCCATTCCCTAGAGATCCAAACTCAATTTTTGTAGTGAAGTTCAGTAATGTGTCTTGTGCCCCACAATTCTAAGTCTGATATTATTAGTAGGTCAGAATGTCACCATCCTCAGATGCAGTACTGGATAAAGATATAAATAATATTTGAACAGGTTAGAAACCTACAAGAGTAGGTAGCTAAGAGATACATGGAGTAGAGATGAACGTTGGCTTTTTCCATGTGAAAGATAACTCAGTCTGCACGTTTCTGTAAGATTTCTTAGTATAGCTATTTGTGTTTGTCTCTAAGGTAAGAACATTCTCTTTCCATGATCTCTTGGCCTCCTGAGAAATCTATTGGTTTATCTTGGTTTGAATTGCTTTGGTTTTATTCTTCAGGCTTCAGGATAGTCTCACCCTAAATTTTCTTACTCTGTAAATTGTCTTCCTTCCTCTTTAAGTGCAGAATCCAAGGGTTTTTGTTTGTTTCTCCCAAATCAGAGTCACTAAGTGTCTTTGTCCACTCAGGCTGCTAAAACAGAATGCCCTATGCTGAGTGGCTTATAAATAACAAATTTTTTACAGTTCTGAAGGCTGGGATGTCCAAGATCGAGGCACCAGCCAATTCAGTGTCCTGTGAGGGCCTGCTTCCTGGTTCATAGACAGCTGTTTGGTATAAAGGACAAAGGAGCTCCCATTCATGTAAGCTCTGCCCTCATGGGCTAAGCACCTCCCTTCTAATACCGTAACACTGGGAATTAGTGATGAAGCAGTTAAAAAGAAACACTTAGGCAGATAGTGAGGGTACAGAAGTCCTTGTTAATGTTTTCCTTTTAAGGAAAAGCAGCCTCCAAATCTGTTTTTTTTTTTTTTTCTAACAGAGTAGCCTATAAAATTGAACTGCACACATAGACAAGCTGGAAGCTTGCATGGGTGAATATTGGCAGAAAAATACTACCTGGGACTAGGCGTGTTAAAAATGGTGGCTCCATTTTTTTGCCAGCCACGTGTATAGTAAGGAGCAGACAAGATGGCCTTGATCAAGTGGATAGTCCATTTGCATAATAAGATTATGGTGGGGGTAGCCAGCCTTCCCAGCATGCTGTGTAAACATCACACTTGATCAAACCAATCTGTGGTCCCTATGTAAATCAGACACAGCATCCTCAAGCCTGCCTATAATATCCGGCGAATTCACCATGGACCGGTCATTTCTCTCCAAAGCCCCCCTTTGTCACTAGAGAAAGAGCTTTTCTCCTCTTTCTTTTGCCTATTAAACCTCCATTCCTAAAATCCTTGTGTGTGTGTCCATGTTCTAAATTTTCCTGGTGTGAGATGCCTTACCTCAGGTGTTTACCCCAGACAACGAAACCATTTCATTAGGATTTCAGCATATGCATTCTGGGGATACACAAACATTCCGTCTGTAACACTCAGCAATTTTTAGAACAAAGAGATTCATCAGGATGTCAATAATTACCCCTTTTGTTTGGGGTTGGTTATGGAAGAGAAAAGAGTCATCAAATTGCAAAATAAGGCAAGAAAGAACCAATAATAATAGAAAAAAAAATGCTCCTAAATGCCTAAACTAACTGCAGGAGTTACTTAGTGGGACATACTATGGAAATATGTCCAAGGAGCATGGAGTTGACATTGAGAGGGATATAACTGGTTCCTGGGCTCCTGGGTCCCCCTCATAGAGATATGGCAGAGATGAGCATTTATGTTTATAAACATTGTACTCTGTGGGCAAATATTATGAACTCTATTATTACAATAAGAGTAAGACTAGGAAAGTTTGCTTTATGAGCACAGAAAAAGGCCTTGGGTATATATGGATCTGTATACTTCCTAAGAAAATAGGCGAATGCTGGAGCACATATTCTTTTGGAAATCCCAGGTGAATTGCAACTGTAAATACGGTTGGTTTACTGCATTTTTAAATGTCTTAAAGTTTTTGTTAGAGGGTGCAAAGGGGGCTATAATAACCTAGAAAGTGATCAGAAGACTTTCTGTATTCCATATACAGCTGGAAATGGATAGTAGCAGGATGTGGTAAAAATTTGGTCTTGGCAAACTTTGCATACTTTGTGTGATTGACCTTTCTCACCACCAGAAGTTTACATATTTCCTTTAATTATGTTGAATTTCAGTGTCTTGGACAATCTAGATATAAGAAGTCTGAAGATCTATATTTTTGGGGGATTAGAGTCCTTCTTTGTCCCTAGGGAACCCTCAGGTTGTCTGTGAACCGGTATGGGGTCAAGACTGGTTTTATTTCTAAACCAGAAGAATCAGCACACTATGGTGGAAATAGTTGGTCTACAAATTAGGAGACTTTGATTCTAGGGTTGGTTCTGCTTATATCCTTGGGCAAATCACTTCTGCCCTCTATGCCTCAATTTTTTGGAATATATGATAAGTGACATAAATTTGAGAAGTCTTCTTATCCTAGTCCTCTGAGATTATCATATGAGAAATAAAATGGGGGATGTTGCCTTTCTATGGGCTGCCTATTTCTGCTGTTATCTTTCTTTTTAGAATTTTAGATCTACTCTGTGAGCTATCAAAGTATAGATTTTAGATCTATTTTGTGAGCTATCAAAGTGATGATCTTGTTAGCAAGTGGAGACTTTACGCCCGTTGAATAATTTAAATGGCCACTTGCAAGCCACAACTTCTGACTTGGGAGTGTGTGGATGGTGGGGCTAGGCCAGGGATTAGTATTATCTTAATAGTCTTCATCTTAATGGCCCTGGGCAGACTGCTTTGTAGCTTTCCTCATATTTCACTTGAAGGTCTCTGATTCACTCAGGTTCATCTCACTATTTGCTTTATGTCAAGGGTTCCTATGGGTCCCCGAGCTGCCGAGGAAGTGTTGCGTGCTTAGACTGAGCAAACTCTGAGTATAACTTATTCTGCTATTGTGATACAATGGAGATGACCTGAGTAATGTAAACTTTTAAGCCTCTAAAAAGGAAAAATGGAAACAAATGGCACCCTGTTTATACATGTATCTATTACTGCTACAGGTTTTTGTCTGGATAAAATGCAAATACCCAGGCATATAGAAGCAGGCTTTGAAACCTGCATGTCAAACATCCTGTTTCTTCATAATATCTTTATAACATCTTCACTAAGAGGGCTTTAATGAATGAAAGTAAAAGCAAGATATTAAAAGAACTTGGAGGGAGATAAGAGATAGGAGTTATCTCAACAGAGAAGATTGGTGTGGGCATCACTGCTAGCTAACCTCGACCCAGGAGGCAGCCACTGGGACAATTTCTGCTTGTGTTGTCATTATACAGTAAGACTCCAATGGGCTATTTGAAAACAGGCAATAGGTAGTTTAACTTATTTCAATGTCCTCCTTTATGATTGAGGGACTCCTTAACTTGCTCTTACAGAGTACTCTTTAAAATGTTAAGTCTTCAAGAACACATGGACACAGGAAGGGGAACATCACACACTGGGGCCTGTTATCAGGAGGGGGGAGGGATAGCATTTGGAGATATACCTAATGTTAAATGATGAGTTACTGGGTGCAGCACACCAACATGGCACATGTATACATATGTAACCTGCATGTTGTGCACATGTACCCTAAAACTTTAATAAAATATTAAGTTTTGTATCCAAATTTACATCTCATGATGAGTCTTTGGCTGGTTCACATTTGTGTTCATTTAGCACAGAATCTCTAGTTCTAAAGGTCTTTTTACATAGTCTCATAGTTCTTGAATCTAAAGGTCTTTTTACATAGTCCCATTGTTCGTTCTTTTCCATTCTTTTTTTCTCTAATCTAGTCTGCCTGCCTTATTCCAGCAAGATAGTCTTCAAGCTCTGATATTCTTTCTTCCACTTGGTCAACTTGACTATTGATACTTGTGTTTACATTTGGGTAGGAGGAATCCATATTGTGAAAATGGTCATAGTGCCAAAGCAATTTATAGATTCAATGCTATTCCCACTAAACTACCATTGACATTATTCACAGAAGTAGAAAAAAAAATTTAAATATTTTAAAATTCATATGGAACCAATAAAGAGCTCTGAGAGCCAAGACTATCCTAAGCAAAAAGAACAAACCTGGAGGCATCAGGCTACACAACTTCAAGCTCTACAAGGCTACACTAACCAAAATAACATGGTACTAGTACGAAAACAGGCACATAGACCAATGGAACAGAATAGAGAACTCAGAAATAAAACTGCACATCTACAACCATCTGATCTTTGACAAACCAAGTAAAAGCAATAGGGAAAGCATTTCCTATTTAATAAATGGTGCTGGGAGAACTGCTAGCCAGATGCAGAAAATAGAAACTGGATCCCTTCCTAACATCTTATGTAAAAATTAACTCAAGATGGATTAGAGACTTAAATGTAAAACCCAAGATGATAAATTGTATAAAACTATACATTATAAAAACCCTAGAAGAAAATCTAGGCAATACAATTCAGGACATAGGTATTGGCAAAGATTTTATGATGAAATCACCAAAAGCAATTGCAACAAAAGGAAAAATTGGCAAATGGGATCTAATTAAACTAAAGAACTTCTGCACAGCAAAAGAAACTATCATCAAAGCGAACAACCTACAGAATGGGAGAAGATTTTTGCAATCTCTCCATCTGACAAAGGTCTAATTTCCAGAATCTACAAGGAACTTAAGTAAATTTACAAGAAAAAAATCCATTAAAAAGTTGACAAAGGATATGAACAGACACATACATTCAGCCAACAAACATGAAAAAAAGCTCAACATCACTGATCATCAAAGAAATGCAAATGAAAACCACAATGAGATATCATCTCCCATCAGTCAGAATGGCGATTATTTAAAAAGTCAACAGATGTTGGTGAGGCTGTGGAGAAATAGGAGCACTTTTATATTGTTGATGGGAATGCAAATTAGTTCAACCATTGTAGAAGACAGCGTGGTGATTCCTAGGAGACTTAGAACCAGAAATATTATTTGACCCAGCATTCCCATTACTGGCTATATAGCCAAAGGAATATAAATCATTCTTTTATAAAGATGATATATTCTATTATAAAGATACATGGATGTGTATGTTGATTGCAGCTATTCACAATAGCAAAGACATGGAATTAACCCAAATGCTCCTCAGTGATATACTGGATAAAGAAAATGTGGTACATATATGCTATGAAACACTATGCAGCCATAAAAAGGAATGAGATCATGTCCTTTTTAGGGACATGGATGAATTTGGAAGCTGTTATCCTCAGGAAACACATGCAAAAACAAAACCAAACACAGTGTGTTCTCACTTATAAGTGAGAGCTGAACAATGAGAACACATGGACATAGGGAGGGGAGCAACAGACACTGGGGCCTGTAGGAAAAAGGGCAGAGAGGAGAGCATCAGGAAAAATAGCTAAATCATGCTGGGCTTAATACCTAGGTGACGGGTTGATAGGTGCAGCAAAACACCATGGCACACACATTTACCTATGTAACAAACCTGCGTGTCCTGCACACACAACCTGGAACTTAAAAGAATCTCTTCTGAAGTCTAACTTGGTCACATTTTTCAACCCTATTATCAGGCTTCAGAAAAAATATTGAGATTTGACAGTTACAATGGAGAAAAAAAGATTGTGTGTACATATACACAGAAAGAGGAAGAGAGTAACACAGCAGTCTTGGTGTGATAAACTGCTAAGAAGCATGAGCGTTCACTACCATTTCAATGCAAATGTGGAACTTGACATTCTCCAGGGGTCAGTGACTAAATGGATTCATTAAAATTCTAGGAGAATAGTAACCTTTATCTTAGAATCTCTTGGTTGAAAAGGTTCTTCTTTTTTCAGTTTTGTCTTTATTCTGTCATTTGCAAGTAGATTGTTTTGTACGTAAGTGTTCTGAAAAGCCACATCTTCTAGTCTTCCACTATGTTGTTGAAAGACGACTAGGGCTTAAAGGCATTGTGTCCTGTTCTCTGCACACGAGTACACTGTTTTTCAGAATGTGACAGGCAAAAAGGAACATGCGGAACCTAAAATTTGGCTCATGAATCATTCCTTGTCTTCTGAGTAGAAACAGGCTGCGAGGTCTGTTAAACTGTTCTTGCAAAGCCAGGTCAGAGCAAACCTACAGGGTTTCCAACTCTGTTTTAGCATAGCAGAGTGTCTTCTTCAAAACGGGAATTTGAACTGCCCTGTCTTCACCTGACATATTACACACTAACCTCTGGCAGCTCATGGGTACATGGAAAATATTCATTCACTTGGAAAATATGCTGTTGGAATATGTCATTCTACCATGAAGGGAGGGGCATGGAATTTATTCTTTGAAACTATAGTAATTTACTTTGGTAAATAGCCATATGAATTCATTTATTTATGAGCTTGAGAAATGGAGAACCTCTTGAGAAATTAGGTGTAGAGGGGTTGATTTGCATAATAAAGATCTCTTAGAGATTACTGGAGATCCAAGAATGTTAAGTTGCAAACATCCAGCAATACTAGATAGAGAATGGATCAAGGCCACTGAGGCAGTTGGAACAAGTATGAGGAATAGCCGGGACCATCAGAAAAAGAATGGTCTTTTGTTTAAAGGAGGAGTTCTGTTCTGATCAAGGATGACACCTGTGACAATGTCAGGAACAGGCACTTCAGGAACATTGAAAATATTCTTGCAAAAAAGGAAAGCAAAGTCAAAGTTGGTGGACTTTTGAGGGGAAAAAAAAACCACGCAAGGGTGTGGCTATAGGTAGGAGATGATGCACTGTGGTATGAGTTATTTTCAGTTTGTTGTGCTGGGGTCCTAATAGACTATCTTAATCTGAAATCTATGTGTTTAGTTCTGGGAAGTTGTTTGTAATATCTGTATTTTTGTCCTCTCTGGAATTTCTGATGGACAGATATTCAATCTTCTCTGTTGATGTACTAATACGCTCTTTGGTTTTTTTCTCATCTACAAGATGGTTCAATTCTATTTTCCAAAGTTTCTATTGAAGTCTTTTGTTTCAGCAGCTGTTCTCTTTCTTTTCTTCTATTTTATTTCCAAGAACTCTGAGTTTTTGATTGTGACTCTCAATTATCTTATCTGTGTAATTGTTTTAATCTTAGGTATTTTGGAGTTCCCTTCTGCTTTCCATTGTTGCTCCATTTATTTCCTTGAGTCGTCTTTGTTTAGTTTGATTTTGTCTTCTGTCTTCCATATTGGAGATTATCGTTAAATATATGCTCCTCCTTGGTAGTTTTTAAGTGTGTTTCAGAGACTTATTAACATCTACCTTGGTAAACATCAGAAAATAAACTTCCTGTCTCTTTATATACGTTCAAGTTAATTACATAGGTATGTTATAAATAGAGTATTTGCATAATTTATGGGCAATATACAATATTTTGTTTCACATAACATGTTATAGCATATAATTATAAATAATAGTAGATTTTAGTATCTACTATCTGTAGTATAGTATCCACTATAATAATAGTAGACAGATTGATTAGTTTTCTATTTCTGCATAACAAATGACCATAAACTTAGTGGTTCAAAACAACATCCACTAATTAGCTCACAGGTCTACAGGTCAGAAGTTCAAGCAGGCTTAGCTGGGTCCTCTGCTAGGGGTCTCACAAAGCTAAAATTATGGTTTTGGCCAGACTCTTATTTGGAGACTCTGGAGAAGAGTGCCTCCAAGTTTACTGACGTTGTTGGAAATTACAGTTCTGAGGTTCCGGGTCCTTACTACCTTCAGTGCCAGCAATGGCACATCAAATCCTCCTTAGGCTTTGAATCTTTCTGACTTCATTTTTTTCTTTTGCTACCAGCTGGAGAAACTTTCTGCTTTTAAAGGGCTGATGTGATTTTCATGTGATGCATCTGGATTTCCTTTTTGCTATATAATGTAACAACTAGGGGAGTGATATCTCATCATGCTCACAGGTTCCAGCCGCACTCAAAGGAGGTCATTCTTAGAATTCTGCCTACTACATTTGCCAAGGTAGTAGAAGCACAGTCAGCCATGCTGTTTCACGGGAAGAGGATCTCAGGGAGTAAGAACTCCTTAATCAGACTCTTAACTAACCTTCTCATTAGTCCTCCCTCTCTAGACCGCTTACAGTGGTGGCTGGTGCCATTGATTCCTGACTACTTCTTGAGTTGTGCTATCTGAATCAGAAATCACTCTTTAGCCAATTAGGGTGCACATTTCTTAGCTCTGCTCAGTCATCTGTGTGCTTTCCATCTCTGAAGATGTGTTGACATCTCTTGCCTGAAGTTTATCTCCTCTATTATTGTTCTTATGTGTTTCTGTCTGCTATGGTTTGAGCGTATGTTTCTCTCTAAACTTCCTGTGTTGAGGCTTAACCCCCAAAGTGATAGTATTAAGAGGTGTGGCCCTTGGGAAATGATGAGGCTGTGAGGGTTCTGCTCTGATAAATGAGTGTCATAAAAGGGCTGGAGTGGCAGAGTTTGCCCCTTCCTTCCCCTTCCACCATGTGAAAGTTCCATCTTGGAAGCACAAAGTGAGCCTGCTCCAGCGAGTGAATCTGCTGGTGCGTAAACCTTGGACTTCCTGACTTCCAGAATGGTGAGAATAAATTCTGTTTATATATAAACAGAATTGTATATAATTATATATATATAATTATATATAAACAGAATTTATATAAAATTCTGTTTATAAATTACTGGTTTGGTATTTTGTTATAGCAGCATGAATGGACTGAAATACTACCAGTTTATTATTTTACTGTCCTTGGACTTTACTGCCATCTGTATGACACCTTTTTTCTAGATCAGCATTTTTTTGTTAAAAAAAAAAATTACGATTTTATGACACCACAAAACTGAATTGAATTAGGTAAAAACTGACATTGAAATCAGAGATCCAAGGTTTCTGATTCCTTTCATAACATTGTGACTCCTCTCACTGGCTCATGAGTTTCATGAGCTTTCCTTTGAAAAGACAGGTTTCTTTAAAACATTAAAATGTGTTATCTGGAAAGTGAGATATTTATTAAATTATTGAGGTAATTTTTAATGATATACCAAGAAGATACATGTTTGATAACATCTCAAAGTTTTGGCTTTATTTTTATGTGGGTGGTATTCTGTCAGTATTTTTAAAGGCTTGTTTAAAATTATTTTTTCTTATTTTAAAACATTGCTTTTAGCTGGTAACAGATGAAATATTAAATAAATATGCAAACCTCAAAGGCATTCATAGCCTTACTGTAGTATTGTTTTATTGATGTGTTCTTCCATGTCCCTCATGATTTTTCAAATACTTCACACATTTTCTAAGATAAATCCTCAAGACTGAAGCAGTAGCCTGGCAGAGGCCAGAGCAGCAAGGTGCATACTTGCTTTTTTCCTTTTAGCAAAATGAACTGATTTAAATCTGATCTGGTACTTTGAAGAATTTTGTCATTAAAATACAGTCCCATTAGTCCTGATTGAGAGATAGTCTAAGCCCTTGCTTGAGTAATACATCTGTTCCTGGGTAAATGATGCATGCCTATTTACTCATTGGTATAATAATCATAAAACATAGTTGATTTTTTTTTCTCACCCATTAATTTTGTAAGCCATTATCCACTGATAAGCTATAGGAAGAAAGCCAAAACACCACATAAACGACATGGAAACCCTCATAGTATTAGGAAGATACTAATATTTAAGGAAAATGGTACTTATTTTAATTGCATCATTTTAAAGGTAAGTTTTTTAACATCCCTTAAGAGACTATAGGATCAGAACTGACCCCTGAAGATTAGTAAATATAATTGATTGATACATATACAATTATGTTAATTATTCATGAATTTTGATCACTTATGACTTACCTGGATTAAAACAGGATTTCATGTTTTAATATGAATTTGTTGTAATCTATATGGAAAATTATGGGTATGGTACAATTTCTGGTAGGTTGTTTTCTTACTTTCCTTCTGGAAATCTGCTAAATTTACTTGTCAAGATGCTTAACTTCTAAACGTCTTGGTTGTCTTATCTGTGAAATGAAACCAGAGTAAGGCTATATAAGGAAATACATATATGGCATTTAGAATTTTTATTGATATTAGTGTGATATAAGCATTAAAAGTAATACATAGTATATTCTTTTAACTTTTCTCTCTGAGTTCTTTGTGGAAATTCCTTTGTTACATATAGATATAATGTGAAGATGTGGAGAATCACTCCCTTTGTTTTTCAGTATATACAGTTGAACATTGAAAATTGTGGGGGTTAAGGATGCTGACCTGTCAAATGGTAAAAAAATTTGTATATAAGTTTTGACTCCCATAAAACTTAACTACTAATAGTCTATTGTTGACTGGAAGCCTTATTGATGAAATAAACAGTTAACACATATTTTATATGTTCTATGTGTTATATGCTATATTACAGTAAAGTAAGCCAGAGAAAAAAATGTTATTAAGGAAATCATAAGGGAGAGAACATACATTTTCTATCCACTAAATAGAAGTGGGTTTATCAAGTTTTTCATCCTTGTCATCTTCATATTGAGTAGGAAGAGGAAGAGAAGACATCAGTCTTACCTTCCCCCAAGGCTGGCAGAGGTGGAAGAAAATCTACGTATAAGTAAAACTGCCCAGTTAAAACATGTGGTGTTAGAGGGTCAACTGTAGAGTGTTGGTGCTGTGTCCAAGAACTATGGAAAGACAGAAATGGACACAACCTAGCAATGCATAAAACCAAGCCTTACAGGATCATGTGCAGGTAGATGTGTAATAATTTCCCTGCCAGAATGCCCTTTCAAATAAGACAGCAAAATCGAGAGTCCAGAACATAAGAAAATATGTATGCGAAGAAACAGAAAAATGTGACCCATAAGGGAAAAGTCAGTAGGAACAAACACGGATACTGGAATTATCAGAAGGGCTTTAAAACAGTGGTTTAAAACAGTGTATGCTCAAAGGCTTAAATGATTAGCATAATTGAATGAATAGATCAACCATATAAAATGGAATTCTAGGACTAAATTTAAATGTCTAAGATGAAAAATTTGAACAAAGGGAAAAATGCAATGAATAGAAAAAAGTTACAAACACAGGAAATATTAATCCAATTATATCAACAAGTTCTTTAGACCATTTACCTTTAAATACATCAAAGACATATTACAATGGGAATTAAAAACAACAATGGTAACATGACCCAATTATATGGTGTTTACAGGAAACTCATATTAAATACAAAGATTCAGATAGTTAAAAGTAGAGGAAGGGGAAAAGATACTATGCCAACACGAATCAAGAGAAAGTAGAATTACCTATATTCAGACAAAGCCTTTAGAATTTGGGATATTATGGATAAAGAGATACATAACAATATAGGGATAAATTACCCAAAAAGACATAAAAATCCTTAATGTGTATGCACGTAATGAGAGTGTCAAAATACATGAGGCAAAAACTGAATAAAAGGATAAATAGATAAATCCACTATTATAGTGAAGACTTCAACACCCCTCTGCAAGTAATTGGTTAATCAAGAAGGCGAAAATAAGAACAGAGATGATGTGAATAGTACTATCAACAAGTAAGACCAAATTCTGAGCCAGAACTGTTTGAAAATTAGACATACTTTGAAATAAGTCATGAATCAAAGAAGGAATCCCAAGAAAAATGTAAAAACATTATGAACTAAATTAAAATGAGAATGCTTATCAAAAGATTGATAGGATGTTATGAAATCAGTACATAGAGAGCATTAAAATGCCTAGAAATTTAATTGCTTAAATGAAATGAAAAGACTTCCTGAGAGTCTCAAACTATCAATACTCATACAGGAGAAATAGAGAAATAGATAACTTGAATACCTCTACATCAATTAGAGAAATCAAATCAATAACTAATAAATTTGCAAGAAGGAAATTACAAGGACTAGATGGCCTCACTGGCAAATTGTACCAACCATTTAAAGAAGAAATAATACCAATTCTCCACAGGCTCTTCCAGAAAATAGAAGGAATGAGGCCAGCACTACTCTGCTACCAGAACCAGATAAAAAAAATATTACAAGTGTTGGGGTGATCAGACCCAACACCAGGTCGTGGGAGTGAGGAAGTCCGGCAGAGTCAAAGGCATGAGAAAAAGTTTGAGAGAGAAGTGGGACCAGGGGGCCATGGCTAGTGTATGGAGGCTGCGAAGGCCCCGAGCTCTGGAAGCCAAGACTATTTATTGGTGATCAAACAGGTGGTAAGAATGTGGGGTGGAAAGGGAGTGTTGCATTAAGCACATGATTTTACAGCTGTGATGGTTTAGCATATGCTCTGCTATTTGTTCTTTTACAATCGATCCCGGGAAAGCAGGGAGCAAGGAGCCAGCAAGTCTAGATACATTCCAGAGCCACGAGCCCTGTATTCTGTCCAAGCCACGAGGGGTTTTATGACCTGGGCATAGATTATGGTGCATCAGGGTGGTCTTCCACCCTTTAGCACAGAGCTTGGTGTTACAAAGGCCACAAGGGGTTTTAGACCCTGGACCCTGGACATGTTCCAAGAATTTTATGTTACGTCAGACATGCAAGCCCTGCCTCAACTTCTCCCAACACTCAGCTTTTCCCAACAACAAAGAAGGAAGACTATGAATTAATATATCCAATGAGCATAGATATAAAAAAAAAAACTCAGCAAAATATTAGTAAATCAGGGCTAATAATATATTAATTATATGCCATTAGTAAGTGATATTTCAGGCAAGCATGCTTGGGTTGGGTCAATATTTAAAAATCAATATAATCTGCCAATGTACAGGCTAAAGAAGAAAAATCATAGGGCCATATTTTTAACATGTAGCATTGACAAAATGCAACACACATTCATGATTTAGAAATTGAGCAAACAGTATAGCAGAATACTGCCTCAAATTGATGAAGACTATAGACTTAGTACTTTTTGCCTAAAATTGGGACGAAAGCAAGATTATTCTATATTATCACTTCTATTCAACATCATACTAGAAGTCCTAGATAGAGCAGTAAGACAAAAGAAAAGAAAACTTCAGATTGGAAAGGAAGAAACAAGGTGACAAGGCAATAAGCAGTCTTTATTTGCAGATGATATTGTTGTGTTCGTAGAAAAATCCCAAACCATTTGTGTAAAAACTGGAACTAATAAGCAATTATAGTAAGGTCACAGGATACAAGATCTGTATACAAATGTCAATTGCTTTCCTATATTCCAGCACTAAAAAATTAAAAAATGTCTGCAATGACACCTAGAAAATACTTACATATAAATCTAACATATGTACAGGATTTGAAGAAAACAAAACATTAATGAAAGAAATCAAATATCTAAATAAATGTAGAGATACACTATATTCATTGATTGGAAGACTCAATATTGTCAAGATGGCAATTCTTCACAGCTTGACTTACTGCAATCCTAAACAAAATCATGGCAAGCTATTTAGATATCTGATGAACTGAGTCTAAAGTATATATGGAAAGGCAAAAACCTAGACTGATCAAGACAACATGGGTTCAAACAAAAATCTTCACATGGCTGTTTATAGCAGCTTCATTTGTAATCGTAAAAAATTGGAACAATCAAGATCTAAAAAGAAATAAGCTATTAAGCCATGTAAATAAATGGATGCATCTTAAATGTACAGTCAAAAGTAAAAGAAGACATTCTGAAAAGGCTATGATTCTATAGTATTCCATTGATTATTACTGTCTTATTCTATTATGTAATTTCATTTATATGACATTCTGAAAAGACAATGATAAAGAAAATAGTGTTTGTCAGAGGCTTAGGATTTGGGGAAGATTGAATAGATGAAGCCCAGAGAACTTCTTAAGAGTAGTGAAACTAGTCTGTATGATATTATGATGCCAGATTTCATTTGCAAGTGCATTTCTCAAAACCCATATACAACTTTACAAAGAGTGAACCTTAATATATGCAAATTAAAAAAATTAAGAAGTTGAAGTATCAACGGAATACAGAATGTGATAAAAGTATCTAACTGTATTAGAAATATAAGAAACAACTTAACTGAAAGGGTTAGGGAAAAAGGCGCTGACCTAAGTAACTTTGGAAGTGAGTGAAATCTGTAAGGCTAAAGGAAAAATAAATGGTACATAAACACTCTATTCTGGTTGATGAAGTTGTTTCTAAAACCAGTACACAGGCATACCTCAAAGACACTGCAGGTTTGGTTCCAGGGTTCCAGACCACAGTAATAAAGTGAATATCATAATAAAGTGAGTCAGAAAAAATTTCAGTTTTCCAGTTCATATAAAAGTTATGGTTACACTATAATGAAGTCGTCTAAGTGTACAATAGCATTATGTCTAAAAATGTACATACCTAAATTTAAAAATATTTTATTACTTAAAAATTCTAAAAATCATCCAAGCCTTTAGTGAGTTATAATCTTTCTGCATAGGACTTTCAAGTTTTGATAAATCCTCTCAAACCCTGCCAGTTCTCTGTCAACTAAGTGTACATAATATTCTAAATTCTTTGTCATTTCAACAGTATTCACAGCATCTTTATCACAGTAGTTTCCATTTCAAAAAGCCGCTTGCTTTGCTCATGTATAAGAAGTAACTCTTCATTCAAGTCTTATGAGATGGTAGCAATTCAGTCACATCTTCGGGTTCCCGTCTTCTAAATCTAGTTCTATCTACCACGTCTACAGTGATTTCCTCCACTAAAGTCTTGAACCCCTGAAAGTTATCAGGAGGGCTTGGAATCAAGTTCTTCCAAACTCGTATAAGTGTTGTTACTTTGATCTACTCCCATTAATCATGAATGTTTTTAATGACATCTAGATGAGTGAGGCCTTTCCAGAATATTTTCAGTTTACTTTGGCCAGATCCATTGGAGTAATCACTATCTATGCTAGCTACAGATTTACGAAATGTATTTCTTAAAAAGATTTGAACATTAAAATTACTCCTTTATAGATGGTCTGCACAATAGAAGTTGTGTTAGTAGACACACTTGAACAACACGAATCTCCTTGTACCTCTCGATCAGAGTTCTTCAGTCACCATGTGCATTGGCAATTTGCAGTAACACTTTGAATGGAATCTTTTTTTTTCTAAGCAGATGTCAATAATGAGCTTAAAATATTCAGTAAGTCATGCTGTAAACATGTGCTGTTATCCAAGCTTTGCTGTTCCATTTATAGGGCATATGCATAGTAGATTTAGCATAATTCTTAAGAGCTCTAGAATTTTCAGAATGGTAAATGAACATTGGTTTCAACTAAAGTTACCAGTTGAATTAAACCCTAACGAGTCAATTTATCTTTTGAAGCTTTGAAGCCAGGCATCGAGTTCTGCTCTCTAGCTATGAAAGTCCTAGATGGCATCTTCTTCCAATATATGGCTTTTTTATCTACCTTGAAAATCTGTTGGCCGGGTATGGTGGCTCACACCTATAATTCCAGCATTTTGGGAGGCTGAGGTGAGGGATCATTTGAGGTCGGGAGTTAGAAACCAGCCTGGCCAACATGGTGAAACCCTATCTCTAGTAAAAATACAAAAATTAGCTGGACATGGTGGCCTGTAATCCCAGCTACATGGGAGGCTGAGGCAAAGAATCTTTTGAACCTGGGAGGTGGAGGTTGCAGTGAGCCGAGATCATGCCATTGCCCTCCAGCCTGGGTGACAGAGTGAGACTCTCTGTCTCAAAAAAACAAAAACAAAAAACAAAACACTGTTTAGTGTAACCCTCTTCGTCAGTTTTCTCAACTAGAACTTCTGGTTAACTTGCTGCAGTTTCTCCATCAGCACTTGCTGCTTCACCTTGCATTTTTATGTTATGGAGATGGTTTCTTTCCTTAAGCCTCGTGAACCAACCTCTACTAGCTTTAGACTTTTAAGTTGCCTTATCTCCCTCAGCCTTCATAGAATTGAATAGAGTTAGGGCTTTGCTCAGGGTTAGGCTTTGGCTTAAGGGAATGCTGTGGATGGTTTGATCCTCTATCCAGACCACTAAAACTTTCTGCTTGTCAGTAATAAGGTTGTTTAACTTTCCTTTCCTTCATGTATTTACTGAAGTAGCACTTCTAATTTCCCTCAAGAACTTCTTGTTTGCATTCACAACTTGGCTAACTCTTTGGTGCAAGAAACTAGCTTTTGGTTTATTTTGGCTTTGAACATGCCTTCCTTGCTAAGCTTAAACATTTCTAGCCTTTAAAGTGAAAGATGCGTGATTCTTCCTTGACCACTTAGAGGCCATTGTAGGGTTATGAATTGGCCTAATTTTAATGTATTGTCTCAGAGAATATGGAGGCCCAAGGAGAAAGAGAGGGGAACAACTGGTCAGTGGAGCAGTCAGAACACACACAAAATTATTTTGTCTTTTGCGGGTACAGTTCATGACACTCCAAAATGATTGCAATGGTAATATCAAAGATCACTGATCACAGTTCACCATAACAGATGTAATATTAATGAAAAAGTTTGAAATAGTGTTACCAAAAATGTGCACAGAGACATGAAGTGAGCATGGTGTCACATTTTTGCAATAAAGCAAATTTCAATAAAACAAGGTATGCTGTATACATGTATACTGAAATTAAGCAATTAAATAAATGGATGATAATCATAGGAGCCAGATTTCTCACTGTTGCAGTAGATTACAGATACCCCAGAGGGAGAAGAATATAATGATCTGTGTGGTAATTAGTTAAATGTATCATTATGAACCCAGGTTTAGCTTAATATAGATACAAGTCGTTACATATGGATATTTTTATAGATGTGTACATACATGAGCAATATACATGCAGATACTTCCTTACTCTGTTGATTGAGAGTCTAGAAGCAATTACACCTCAGTAGCAAGAAGCCCACCTAGCACCCAGATCTTGATTTCCAAAATTATTTTTCAATAAAATGAATGAGGGTTCTTTGAAGAAATGGCTGATTTTAGGACTTTGCAGGAAACATACGAGATAAGCCTGGAGCATCTCGTAGCGCCAAAAAGGAATTTTTCAATGCCCTCTTGCAAAACAGAACAGTACAACACACACACATAAAATACCATAATGAGAGGCATATGTTAAAGGGACACAGGAGCTGACTGAAAGAGTTCCCAGTGACAAATGCTGGGACGTCACTGGGATGTAACATACTAATGTAAGATGTTAACTAATAGAGGAAACTGGGTATAGGGTATTGAGAACATTATACTTTCATTTTTTTTCTGTGAACAGAAAACTATTCTAAAGTAAAATATTTGCTAAATGTAATCATATAACCATTCTGATTTTCACTTTTAGTACAGTATTCAATAAATTGCATGAGCTATTCAGCACATTATTATAAAATAGGCTTTTGGCTTAGGATTGCTTTGGCTATTTGGGCTCTTTTTGGGTTCCATATGAATTTTAGAATTATTTTTTTGAATTCTGTGAAGAATGACATTGGTAGTTTGATAGGAATAGTGTTGAATCTGTAGATTGCTTTGAGCTGTATGGCCATTTTAATGATCTTTCCAATCCAGGAGCACAGAATGTTTTGCCATTTATTTTTGTCATCTTTGATTTCTTTCAGCGATATTTTGAAGTTTTTGTAGAGATCTTTCAGCTTCTCGGTTAGCTGTATTCCTAGGTATTTCATTTTCTTTGTGACTATTATAAATGGAATTGTGCTATTCATGATAGTAAGTTACATGAAAAGAAAATGATAACAGAAAGAAATTTAGACTCAGGAATCCAAGCTTCTTTCATCATGTAGTTCTTTCTTCCATAGCAAATGGCCCATGTATTTGGTGATGACTGGGGAAAAAAGAACATGAAAGAGCACAGAGTGCAGAAAATGAGTGGGAGAGACTATCATTTTCATCCATATTTTAGGGTAGCATTTTTTTTTTTTTTCTACCAATGCAAGTGAGAAGAGTTCCAAGGGGAGCATTTGGAGGGCTTGCTGTGTTTTTCCTGGAGTTTTGGTTTCAGGCAACAGAATAAAGAAAAAGAGAAATCTACACTTCCACTAGTGGAGTAGGAATGTGTGAGTGGGAACTGACTTGGAATCACTTTAAAAGGGATCCTTCCCAAGAGGACTATGTGGAAAGGAAAAAGCCATCCCAACATAAGAATCTAGGGTTGACCACGAAAACTCTGTGGTGAACGTAGGCAGTTTTAAGCAACCACTGAGGAGAATAATTACCAAAGTAGTCCAGAAATCTTGTTTTAGGAGTCTTCAATAAGAAGGAAGAGAGGGAAAAAAAACATACTAAAAGGAGGAAGCAACTGTGCACCTGGTATATCCAAAGGGAACTAACGCCAGATTGCGATTGTGCCCACCACTTTGCTTTAGAAGTGTAAGCTATTTTATAAGGCTAATTTCTGGATGTGTTTGGACGCTTAGCAGTTCTGCTATAAATCTTTCAAATTTGGGATTCATACGTCTTGTTCTTTGACTTGGAACAACCTAGATATATTTTGTATGGCAGATATGTAGCAAAGCATAATTGGAATTGTGGGAAAATGCAGAAAAATCTACTGTCTGGCCATATTCTCCAAGGAAAAGCTCCTCTACTGAACATCATTTTTGATTTGCCAGTGTTTTTGTCACTAGACTAGAAAAATGATTTGCTCAGATCCATGTATACTTGAAGGCTATGTATTAAGAAAAATTCATGTGACAACCTAGTAAATAAAAGAGCAGCCATGGGGAATGAGAACTAAAAGACAAGCTACGTAGGCATGATATAATGTGGAATTGGAGGAAAAAAGGATTAGTAAAAAATGTAAAGGGAGATATTAAAGCATAAAAATTGTTTAATCACATAATTTCATCTAAAATTAACATTATCTGGGATTATAGTCGAATAACATTGGTTGAACAGTGTTTTTTCTTTATCTCTTTTGTAGTTTGAAGTACTTAAGGAGGCAGATAATTTGGAGATCTCAGGTTTCTTTACTGGTATGGCTCCTACAGGTTTAAAAGAACTTGAACTGATCCTTCTGTAGGAATGAGGGCAGCCAGGACCTGCCAGGGTACTGTATACTTTTGATCTTAAGGGGAAAACAACTCTAATAACTCAATATTGTGAAGAAAACTGGAAGTTGTTTCAATCTACAATCCTTTAGAAAGCCTAAATCTCGAACCCAATAGATTTGTTCTCTTCTTCCATCCTGTCTCATATTCTACTAGTCAACAGTCTGATTTTTGGTTGCTAGAGAGGAAAGTAGCCATCTTAAAGGAATGTCAATTAAAGTGTGCTATTAGCTAAATTCATCACAATATAATATCATTAAGATAATATTTATATAATACTATAATTCATATAATTGCTGTCAGGTTGAGACTTTGGGGTGGTTGGGACAGTGTGACTGTATTTTGCTTATAAATCTTAAAGGTCAGAGGGTAGATTGTGGCAGGCAGAATAATAGCCCCCTATAGATGTCCCTGTCCTAATCCCTGGAAACTATAAATATGTTACGTTCCATGGCAAAGGGGATTAAGGTTGCAGATGGAACTAAGGCTGCTAATTAGCTGACCTTAAAGCAGGGAGATAATTTTGATTATCCAGGTGGACCAATGTAGTCACAAGCATCCTTAAATGTGAAAAAGGAAGACCTAAGGGAAGATCAGAGGAATGTGATGTGATAAATGAACCTACCATTACTGGCTGGAAAGATGGAGGAAGAGGGCCACTGGCCAAGCCACATGGACAAACTCTAGAAGACGGAAAGGCTAAGTCAATGGATTCTCCCTGAAAGAGGGACACAGCTCTGCTGATACCTTGATTTTAGCAGGGTAAGACCTATTTCATACTTCTTAACTACAGTGGTGTAAGTTTTTTTAGGCTGCCCCATTTGTGGCAATTTGTTATAACAGCCATAGAAAATGAATATAAGGAGCATTTGCTCCTTATAGTACAGTGAGTATAAATCAGCCTGACTTACAACCTGTTGATCTGGCTTTGCTCACATGTCTACGTCCATCTGTTTTCCCTGTCCAGAAGCCTGGTGGGGGGAAGATGGAAGTCTCAGGACTTCCCCAAATGAGCAGGTTCTAGAAATATGTGGTGTTTTAAGCTTTCAGTAGAACTGTAAATTGCTGTTCTAAATAGTCAATGCCCTTTGACTATCAGTTGATTTGAGATATGTATAATAATTTTTTTCAATCATCAACACTTGGAGAGAAGGTTAGATTTGAGGCAGCAATTAGAAGAGTACATTCTGACATTGGTAACTTTGTAACTGTGGAAGCAACAGCAGTGAGAAAATTAATGTAAAAAAATGTAAAGGGTTGGGAGTAGAACAACTTGATGCTCTATTGATAAAGTGCATACCAAGTGAGTAAGAGTTGGGGAGGCAGTACATTAGATAGTGGACCACAATTTTTAATTGAAAATGGCCTACCCCTCTATCTTTAGTTCTGGAAATAGAACTTTTTCCTTGGACTCAGACAAGGTCAGATACTTCTCTTCTTTAATGTTAAAGACAGAGATCATATTTTGCTTTCCTTTTAACCCCATAGTTCCATTGAGTAAAAGGTATGTTTGTTTACAGACTAAAACGAAACTTGGCTCTGGGTTTCTTGCCAATGGCCCGATGATCTCATGCTGGAGTTGGGCAATAGAATTTTGAAATAAGAGAAATTCCATTAACTTAGAAGACTGAGTTCCATTTAAAATTTCAAAGTACTTTCCTCCTCATTTCTGTCCCTGCTCATGACTATAACTTCGTGAAGCTTTTGATCTCCTCCAGCATGGTGTCCTCTGAAACAGAGTGCTTTGAGACTGAAATATTCTCTAGACCCTGCCTACTTGAAATGTGGTTGACCAACATCATCAGATCCTGTCACTCCTGATTGAAAATGTAGAATCTCAGACTAACGCATCAGATTCAAATAAGTTCATGAAACACTGCTTTAGGCAATATTTCCTGTATCAAAGAAACCTTATGAGATCATCTCCAGACTCATTGACTGATGATATGGATGCTAAGAGTGATTGTGGCAGTGGTGGCGGTGGTGGAGATTATGTGGGTGATTTTGGTGGCAGTGATAGTCTGGATAGTTGTGGTAGCAGTTATGTATGGTGAGTAGCTGCAGTGAGACAGTTTCTCCAATATGACAGGCACACCACTGGTCTTGCCTACCATTTAAAACCCAGTGCTTAGCATAATACTTGGCTTATGGAATATATTTAATCAATATTTATTGATTAAATGAAGGTTAAGAAATCATCCTTAATGTTCTAGAAGCCACGTCTCCTCTACTCCTCTAAGAAGAAAAAAATGTTTTTACAAATTCTACATAAACCCATCCAGCTTTCTGTCTACACACCTATCTACTCATTCATTCATTCACAGACTTCATTCATTCAGTAAACATCTACTGAGTATTTACTATTATGTTAGGTTCTGGGAATTGATGAAAAGGGCACAGTTCTACCTAGAGGTAGAGATTATGTTTACAGAGGTATGTTAAGATTTGGTTACAGATATGAAAGGGTATTACAATGTTATTGAGAAGGTAATGAAAAACCTGGGTGGTAGGGCCTGAGAGTGAAGGATTTAAAGAGTGAAGATACTTGCTAGACAAAATAATGGCAACAATGACATTCTAGGGAGATGGAAATCCTGAGTTATTTTTATGGGTTCGGAAAACGTATGATATTCTGAGCATTATAGTGTCTAATTGTCATGTTTGGGGTTTGAGGTATGGGTATGACACAAGGAGTTTGTCCAAGAGGAGGCAACTAAGAGGAGGCAATTTTGCTCTGTGTCCTTAGGTCTAAATAGCTTCTAAGACTTCAGGAGAGGTTTATCACTTCCCTGACTCCCTACCCCCAAAAAGCCCCCCCCCCCCCGAAAAAAAAATGTTCCATGGTATTTTTGAAAACTGAGGCGTCCTGTGTCAACAGGACTTTAATATATATTCCAAGAAATTCTTGACCAGGAAGAAAAGGGTGAAACCAATAAGTACATTTACTATGTGTTTTAGGAAACTCCTGACAACCAATTTATCTGAGCAAATACTTTGCTCATCTGGTTAAACAGTGTGTACACAGGATACTAGATTGCTCACCTGGGCAAATAGCTGACTTAACAAACAACTGTTTCCATATGAAGGCTCCTTTCAAGATCCTCATTTCATTGCGTTCATCAATCCTAACTATTACATCATAGATTTAGCTTAATCCTAATCAGAAGCCCACATTGAAAGACTTGCCTTCTACCTTGTGTGCTCAGATCCCATGAAACTGTGTCCCTGACCTGAACTTTCTGAGACATTACTCAGTAAAGATGGGGTTCTCCCTTACTGCAATAAGGCTAATAAACTTAGCTTTGCTTGGTAAACAGGTGACTTGGTGGAGTTGCGGAGTGCCAACGTTTGACATTTAAAATGTCTGCGAATAAAGAAATGGGAAGAAAGAAAATTCCAGTCGTATTTAACTGTATGTCACCTGTAGTTATGGGTTGAAATAGAGTTCAGGGTGGACAAATCATTTTTTGATTTATTATATTAAGATGACCTAAAGAAGACAATATGAATACTAATAGTCACAAGAAATAAGAGATGATTAAAATATGTATGACAGAATACTTAACATCAAATAATTGAAAGTAATTATGAAAAATATATTTGTTTCTTAAAAATTCCTGTAGATGCCACCATTTTCCAACTTGGTTTACAAAACGGACAAGTTAATTTTTCTTCTTCTTCATTATCTACCTTAAAATTTGTGGTTTATATAGTGCGATAAATGTTTATTGTGAATATTGGTGAAAAATTCTTAAATTCTCAAATCGTTAAGAATGGTAAAATTTGTCAAGATTTTCAGTTAAAAATATATGCAATTTGTGGTAGGATGTTAATATTGTTAAACTTTGCAAAAAGTCATTTCCATTTCTAGTCTGACTTAAAAAACAAAGTACAATTACATTTAACGCTGCTAAACATATTTGTTTACTTGCACTGATGGTATCAACTGCAGCACTGAATTTGTTGTACAGAGAAATTCATTACAAAGTGTGGCAATGTGGATGACTAGGGATAGCACCATACTATATTTTTTTCTTGGTTTGGTTACATAAGGCCTTATTTTCTCCAACATACTGTTCTATGGACAAAATTCTAAACTTTTCTTTTTTGAGTATACATCAATTATATACGAAATGAGGTGTTTTTAATACATTCTCATATTGACCCACATATTTGTAAATTCACTGATAGTTTTAATTAAAGTAAACCAACAGTATAATCACTAAGGATGCTATGTTTCGACACCATTGACTTAATGCCTGCCCTTATCATTCCTTACATGTGCTACTGCCATTGACTCTTTAGAGTGCTCTCTGTTCCATTTTGCTGCATGCCTCCAACCTGGTCATTTATTTTCTTCATTATCTTAAATTTTTACCCCTCAAATGCATGTGTTATTACCCCTGCTTGAAGATCTTTAATGGCTTCCTAAATATTTGGGAAAAAGTTCAAATATATTAACAGTAACAAAGTATATGGCCCCTGCCTGCCTCTCCAGCATTCTCTCTTGTAAATATCCTATGAGCACACTCTGCTCGAAGTATTTTAGACAAATTGGTATACACACTTATAATCAGCTAAGTCTTCTTTATGTTTAAGGATGCAGCTCAATCATCTCCAAATTACCTTCCATAACTTGCCCCCAGACTGAACTAGATGGTCCTGGCTGTGCCCACGGCACTCTGTATGTATGCTGAGAGTATAATCACTCTTTGGTTACCTTCTGTCTTCCCTACCAGACTGTAAGTCCTCAGATTCAGCAGCCATGTCCTCCATCTGCACAGCCTTAGACATGTGGCTCATTGTAGGTAATGTAGGTAATTACCCATACATCTGCTATGATGAGGCAGCAGTGAGTTCCATGTAAAGTCCCCAGTCATTGTGCTTTCCTTCCCCAAAGTGCACAGACTCCCCGTGCTGTGCGGCTGCTGCTGGGGCAGAAGGGGATGGATGGTGGCAGTGATTCAAGGTGCTCTCTCTGACCCCTCTCAATGCTCCTTTCAAGGAGGTGAAGTTAAAACACTTCTGTGAATTGCTTACTTGATTTTTGGTTCTTGTAATGGTGCTTTTCTGTGTGCAGATAATTGTTAAAATTGGGTGTTCCTGGTGGGGGATATTCATATGGTAGGCTTCTCTTCTGCTGTTTTGCTTCCCCACCACCCCACCTGTATCAACTGTGTTTAAGCTTCAATAAGACACATGCTCATTGAAAGTAATTTCTTATTGTTAAATGGAAATTATTGCAATAAACAATAGTGGTGAATAATTAACATAAATTAGATTTGCTAGATGTGTGAGTATATTTAAATAAAAGCAAACTGGTGAAGTAATATCTATGAAAGCAAACATTTTTGTTTCCTTCTATAAATTGTTTCTGAGAAGTTTGTAACTCTAAGATAATTATTAGGGTTTGTTAGAGCTAAAATTCAGTTGATCTCTGAACTCACTGGAGAGCTTTTATAAATTAAGTTTCTTGGGATACGCCTGATGCAGTCGTTTTGTAAATATGAGTGGGACAGGAAAACAGTCTTAAAAGGTCCTTGGTGGTTCTAATGACTAACTAGGTTCAGAAATAATAGTAAGTTTATTTGACTTTATTGAGTGTGTACTATGAGCTTAGATATTGTATATCACTTTACAAATGCTCACTTGATTAACCTCCATAAAACCAAAAATGATTTTATTAGCCCAATTTACAGACATGGAAACTGAGGTATAGAAATGCAAAGTAGCATGCTTAAGTTATACAGCTAATAAGTAATAGTTAGATTTAAGTCCAAGCAATTTAGCTCCAGGCCCCAAGCTGAGAAGTAGTATCCTATTCTACCCCTGTGAAGGAATTTTCCTTCACTTGGGTTGCACTGTGTGGTCATCCTATGACCTTGGGCAAATCACCAGCTATCTCTGGGATTTTACCTTGGCTTGTGGCAAAGCCAATAGGAATCGCAATAAAGTTTGGGATGTTTCACATAAACAATGGGCTGTTTTAGTCCTGTAAATAGGCAAATCCAGCCTAACAAGTTTGAATTGAAGATTTTTTTAACCTTTTCTCTAGTCTTCAGCCATATAAAAGTTGCTGTTGATAATTGAATATGTATGATCTGTAAATTCCCTTTGGGCCAGATTTAATACCACCCTTTTCTTTCTAGGGGAGAGATCAGATATTAGATGTGTGACAAGGTCATTTAAGAGAGAAATTTGAGCCTGCTACAATGAATGAAAAGAGACAATCATTTATGCTTTCTCACATTTTAATTCTCATGAGTAACAAATATCTTTGCAGCATGCTTTACAACTGATGATGACACTGTCATGTCTCTTCACCAGGACTGAGGGCTCTTGGCTTACCCACAGCAATCATATAGATCTGATGTGGATGATACGACTTAATTCAAATGCTGTGTCTATTGAACTGACTCAGGTAATGCTGTCAGAATAGTTGGATCAGCCCTAATCAGCCAAGACCCCCATTTACTTTGATGTAAATTGGGAATGGCAGCAACTCTACCTATCTTTCCTGAAGGAATGTGGGGAGGCTTTGAGGTAAGATATTTGGAAGCACTATGAATTGTTTGGGGAAAGTCCGAGATAAGACATTATCATAATGGGTTCATCTTACCTGGCATATTAAAAATAATTGTGACAGTAGGAGGGCAAAGCCGTCACATTACTGGATGGTTAATATAAGGCTTTAGTGGCCTATGGGTAAAGGAGCATATTAGCTCAATGCGATGCCAGTGGGGAATTGTTTAATTATCACAGGACATAGCACAAAAGATACGATTATTGCCTAGGAACAGTTTGAAATTCAGTTCATTCCTGTAGATTTCCAAAGGTACTTTTAGTTGCTCTACTCACAGAGGTACTCACTGTGGAAGGAGGGGTGAAGGTTTGAGCTTATCTGACATCATTGCTAAAAGTAGCCCAGGGGGCATGATCATTGCAATGTTCATGAAGTCCATCATTGTGGTCTTCAAGGATGCTCACTTTGCTGTTCAGCCCTTCATTGCCACTTCACAGCCAACCCTCTGTGAGCTGCTTCTTACATAAGTTACTTGTACCATACCTCCTCCCTTCCATATCAAGAATTTTGGAGATATCTCTTTTGATTTTGGATGCATTTTAGTAATGATCACTAACGGACCCTGTGTTCTCCACTGGTGTTCCTTGGGTTATTTGAGATCGTGATGATGCATCCGTTTATTGTATCTGAGGCCAAAAGAAGAAAGAGTGTATGCAGTAAAATATTCAACGTTAAACCAGATTGGAAGTGGAGGCATAGTAAAGGTTTGCTGTGTGGGTAGCTCTGCTGAATATTTCTCAGTAGCATTTCCTTTGCTATCTTCATTGATGAATTGTATCTCCCAGCTTACCAAACAATGGTATGGATTGGGTTTTGTTATGATAAACACAATATACCAAAAAGACTATCTACATTGTTTCAACACAGTGAAATTCATTTTTAAAACAAAGAGAAAGAAAAAATACTTCTCAGAACTGGTAAACAAGGTGAGGAGTCACTTGAAACCAGCTATTTAGTTTTAGTACCTTTTGGGGGAAGGTCGTTTCTTGTTTTACAAACATACATTAAAATTCCTTCACGAATTATGCAAATTTGGTGGACTTTATTTATATTAAACATACCACTGGGTTTGCTGTATCACTAAGAGATAGCACTCACCACTTCCTAGCTGATAGATTATTTTCATTATATGGTTTCTTTTAAGGCTATTGGAAAAGTAGGGGTCATTTTCAGCTAATGAGCTTCCAATGACCAGAATGGCATCTTTTGTTAAGGTGCTTTGGAATTTGATTAATTAGGAGAACGGTGCTGGTCTTTTCTGCAGGCATCATTCATAAATCATTCCCTGTGGTCTACAGAAAAATCATTCACACTCTATTGCTGGTGGAGGGGGTCTGCAACACCTTCAGAACCTGTTGGAAATGAACTCTATTCTTGACATATTAAATTATCTTTTTTAATAACTTTGCCCACCTAGAATGAGACAAAACGCAGGGCAGCCAAATACTTTTATCTGATGTGTAGTACAGATTGTTTCATTGGACAAATAATTGTTGGAGTAGAGAAGATAATAGGAAGAGATGGTAATGACTAAATGAAATGGTCAGCCAAGGCAAGCAGGAAGCATCTACTTGGTCAGTTGAAATATTCTTTGAAATCTTGCTTGATTTTTTTTCTGGAGTGTTTTGAAGTTTTGTTTTGTTTTTAAACAAAATGAGCACAACTCTGAATTTTTTTCATCATTATACATTTATATTCCCAGTGGAAAGACTACATGCTGGTGTCAGTCTTTGAAATGTATTTTCCAGTGTTACAGATACTTGATGCCATTTATTTTTTGAAGAAGTCATTATTGATCAATATCTCCACCTACCCTGCTTGCTTAAGATTTGCTGGCATCTAAACTAATCCTAATTTGTATTTGACATAGCATTTTCCTCTGAATTGATGGAATGTAGAAATTATAAAAGGATGTGTGTGCCACTCCTGAGAGATCTTTCTCATTATACCCAATTTGCATGCAGCTAGTTAAGAAGGGGAGTCAAGTTCATTTTCCAGGATAAGATAGCATGTCCATGGCCCAACCGGAGATAAAACTCAGAAAACTTAGAATTCTACCTTAAAGTCCACAAGTGGATTTAAAAAGCAAAGGAATTAACCAGTAGCAGACTTCATGGCTGGCTGAGTTCCTGGGATGTACACTCCCAAAAGGGTTCCTTACTATGCTTTGCCTAAGGAGATAGAGGTGATCATTGTATAGGGCTCTAGTATTGAGTTTCTTCATGATCCAAGAAAGCTGGGGTGTTTGGAGTCCTTTACTCCTCTAAATTAAGCTCCATACTCCCAGGAAGTCAAGGAACAAAAATTAGGTGTTTCATGTTTGTCTGGTATCCTTTCCATCAAAATCTGATTGAGTAAATGGACAAGTCATTAACCTCTTTAAACCTCAGCTCCCTGTACTGCAAAATGGGATCATACTTTCTGCCTTTTCTGTCTCATCAGATTGCTGTAAAGATGTGATGAGGCAATACCTATCACATTGCTTCACAAAACATTAAACACTCTCCATATCTGACATCACAATTTTTAGCCAAGGCCTTTTAAAGTAATACTGGGTTGAAAAAATCCACATTTTTAAAGAAAATTTGGACTGTTTTACAGCTTGTCAATACAAAGATCTGAGGAGAGTGTAACCATAAAATTGGGGGGCATTTTTCTGACAATCCTCATATGTGGCAGATCAATTGCAGTTGGAAAATCATGCTACATTTCAAACTTAACTTTTATAGCAGAGAACAAATTTCTAAGTTTTTTTTTTCCTTTAGCAGTCTTGACTTGAATGTACAGGCTTTATATCAGAATATAAGTACAAAAGGAAAGACATGAGATTGTGAATGATAATTTTAAAAATTAAAAGTTGATATGTTTTACTGAGATAGTTGATAAAACATAAGCATGAATTATGTGACGTGGGAGGAATCAATGACATTGCTGAAGATTTTCTATAGGACCTCAGGAAAAAGCATTTGTCACTGTAGTCTTCACTTTTCTTTCAAAGACCTGTAAGACAAGATCTTAATATCAAAAAGGCAAATCTAAATACAGAAATAAAGCAAAGCACCAAAAATACATTCTTGGAAAAGCCATGCTATAAGTTCCCTGAAGTATGTTTAATGTTTTGTTTCTCAAAAGTTGCCACTTTCATTTATTTATATGCATTTCAATCCATAGCAATTCCCCATTTATGCACCCTGTTCTAAATGTTTTAGTTAAAGGCATTATGGGGCCCTAAATTGTGTCAAATGCATTCTTGACACCTGCATAAAGTTTCAGGAGAGAATTATGGAATGGCAACATAATTAATTTTCTATTGAAGAAAGCCTAATGGATCATAGAAAATGGCCAAATTGGCATGTGTAATTTCAACGCATGGCTCTTAGTGTTCCCTTAAAGGTGTTAGACTAATGAAATAAGTAACATTACAAATAGCAATTTACTTTGCTTTGTTTATTTACCCAATTTTGTTGCTTCATGTACAGTGCTTCTCCGCTTACCAATGAAAACTTATTTAGGGTCATTCTCGGGATTAAAAAAGAAAAGCCTCACACAATGAGATAGTGACATTGTTTTTTCTTAATCGATTACTGTTGAGAATATTCTACAAACACACTACTTAATTGACTACCTGTCCCAGGGACTGCTTTATTGCTTCTGTTAATTTGAAAAGTTAGAAATGCTAAGCAAAAGAGTAAGTACTGATTTGAATTAGTTTTAAGTCTCCTGAAAACGAGAACATTATTTAAATATTAACTGACTTGAATCTTGGTAGAACGATTCTTAAACCATTCCTTTGTCACTGTCTTTTGGCTTATCTCTATCTCTGTAGCTTATCCCTGTCTCCATGGGTATCCAGGGACACATTCTTGATCATGTCACAATTGATAAGAATCATTTTCTTTAGCCTGCTTATAACTAATTTCTGCCTGTCAGCCTTCACCAACCCATACGTCCTTATACATCTTTATTTCCACATAGTCTCCATCTTTTGGCTCTGATTATATCATTATATCCCATATATCATTTTTGTAGACCTAGATTACTGGGTTTTCTGAAACTTGAAAAATGAATGAGCTTATGCTATCCACATTGGAAATAGGGAATTCATGAAAAGCTTTATCAGGAAGAATACAGCTTGATGACTATAGGGTATCATTTTCAAGACGTTCTTCATTTCGTCCCACCACAAAGAGGTTTTGCGCCTCTATAGAATAGGGCTAATCTGTGACATCTGGTTAACATAAGAGTGTATCTAAGGAGAAAGAAACTGTGTAGAGCAGTAGGTCAAAGTATGAAGGCCACAAACTGTAAAGTGATAAATGTTTTGAATATCTATCAGGTTAGTTTAGATATCCAACCTTGACATTAAGTCTCAGCATAGAGGTAGGAGCATGATCTCTCTGACACTGTGGCTTGAAGACTATCTCCTCTTGGCTCCTTTGCTGAATGCCTTTCTTTTTTCTTTTTTTTTCTTCTCTTTTTTCAGACTGAGTCTTGCTCTATTGCCTAGGCTAGAGTGCAGTGGCATGATCTCTGCTCACTGCAACCTCTACCTCCTGGGTTCAAGTGATTCTTGTGCCTCAGCCTCCTGAATAGTTGGGATTACAGGCACCTGCCACCATGCCCAGATACTTTTTTTTTTTTTTTTTTTTTTGTATTTTTAGTAGAGACATGGTTTCACCATGTCGGCCAGGCTGGTCTTGAACTCCTGACCTCAAGTGATCCCCCCGCCTTGGCCTCCAAAGTGTTGGGATTACAGGCATAAGGCACTGTGCCTGGCCTGAATGCCTTTCAGTTGAGTCTGCCAATGAGAAGTACTGGCAAATATTGGAAAAGGGAGGAGAGATAGAAGAGGCTAGGGGGCGAGAGAGAGAGTGAAAGAGATTTTTTCCCTATTTTCTCTTCGCTCTAGTGCCTTGACGTTATACAGCTACAACTCTTCTGTGGTTTGTTTCCATTGGCCCAATAATGTTTTTCCCTTGATTTCCTCTATTGGTAATCTTGGGAAGCCTCACCCTTCTTTCTGTCATGCATTAACACTGCCAACACCTCTGTAAGCAGTCTTTTCATTTACATCTCTTCATCTGGGCTGAATACTGTTTCCTGTCACTAGCTCTGTCTGACCCAAGAGTTGTTTGATGTCGAGGTTGCAGAGTTTGCTCTGTGCCACTCCTCTGACTCCAGAATTATCTATTACTGAAGTCTCTGCCAGATAAATAAAGCAGAGTATAGTGCTTAAGAGCAAATGAAAGGGTGTAAGAGAGGCTTGAGTTTGATTTTGTGCAAGTAATTTAACCAATGAAATTTTCACTTTCCTTTTCTGTAAAATGGGATTGTAATTGCATTAACATCACTGTGTTGTTTTGAAGATTAAATGGGATAATATATGTAGAACTCTTAGCACAGTACATAATACTGTGTGCACAGAATGCAGTAAGTGCATGGTAATCAATACATTTTATTATGATTATGTAATTCCTAGCTACAAATACAGTGATACTTCGAAGGGATGTATATAATCAGTGGCTCTATGGAATAGAGAGGATTTATTCATCATTAAACATAGCATAGATGGTGTGGCTTTTTTTTAGCTGAAAGTGTGGATGAGGGACTGGATGTGAACTGTTGGAAACGAATGCTGCTCTGATCATACTTGCGGAACATCACAGCCTCTCTTTGTGGTAGCTAGTTCTGCTCCATTTAAGATGATCTGGGGGACATGTGGCATGCTATTTGGTCTGTCTGTGTTAAGAGGCTACCATCTGTTGTATAATCATCAGGATTACTGATGTGATCAATTGTTCTTGTATTTCTGTTTTTAAACAACCTTCTCAAGGCATGCATCCCAAATATGAGGAATCAGTTTGCTCAGAAAGCCATACGCTTGCACCTGGTAAAGCTGAAAGAATTTAATTGTTTGCTTGATAACTCTCAAAAGTGTCCTTTCTGATAAAGCACAATCTACAATTTTGGTTATATTTTCTAGGTTAATAATTCTCTTAATTCAAAATGCTTTTGTGAATAGTATCTGGACTTCACGGGTTGCCTGCTGGGCTGATGGCTCTGAGGAGAAAAGTCTAGGTCCAAAGCCATTAGCTTTCTATTGATTGTCACTCTCAATGATGATACTAGGAAGTTGTCAATGATTACCGTTATAATCAAGATTTCCAACTATTCTGGAAGAAGTTAATTACATAGATGCTAGGGGTTTGTCTAGGCAGCTAGTGAATGTGCATTGTCCTTTATATTATCCCAAAAGTGAAGATTAGTAATTTATTAAGCTATGGTTTGATATTCCTGTAGAACCATTCACAAACTTTATTACCTTGGATTTGACTTTACTTTTTCTAAGTCTGTTTCCTAATGCATAAATGGAGATAATAGACCTCACAGCATTCACGTAGAGATGAAATGAAATAATGTTAAAAAAGTATTTATTACAGTATCTGGCCCCCCGGTGAGGTCTCTTGGAATGTTAGCTGTTTACCTAGTATGTGGAAGACCTGATGATGTGGTGCCAGAACCTGAAGCCATGGTGGTAAACTACCTAGACATAGTCTCTTGTACTCATGGAGCTTAAAGTCTATTCTTGGACTAATAGCTTCCATGATGTTTGCTTGCAAAGGTAGGTTTTACTCATCGTATCCATAGTAACCCATATCCCATTTTCTGGTTTTAATATTTCAAAATGGAAGCAATTTGAGTATATTTTAATTGAATCCACATCATTGCAACATAATTGTTAGGCAAGTTAAAGTTAAAATGGTTAAATTGCCATTGTCTTCTATTTTCAGAATATACTCTATTCTCTTTTGCTACACTGGAAATTGTCAGTGACTGGATAAGTACAAAGCTGTTCTTATTGGGGGTTAAAATATGAATTTTGCAGTAATACACATTAGGGCTTGAGTCCAGGCTTCCCTAATTATTAGCTGTAGCAACTCAGGTTAGCTGTCTAATCTGAATATAAGATTTTTGTTGGCCAGGCGCGGTGGCTTACGCCTGTAATCCCAGCACTTTGGGAGGCTGAGGCGGGCAGAGTACCTGAGGTCAGGAGTTTGAGACCAGCCTGGCCAATATGGTGAAACCCTCGGCTCTACTAAAAATACAAAAATTAGCTGGACATGGTGGCACACACCAGTAATCCCAGCTACTCGGGAGGCTGAGGCAGGAGAATTGCTTGAGCCTGGGAGACAGAGGTTGCAGTGAGCCGAGATCATGCCACTGCACTCCAGCCTGGCCGACAGAGTGAGACTGTCTTTAAAAAAAAAAAAAAAAAAAAAAAAAAAAAAAAAAAAGATTTTTGTTACTGTAGACATAAAATAAGAGACAGATCCACAGACACACAGGAAGAATGCCATGTGATAATAGAACTAGGAATTGGAGAATGCTGCTGTAAGCCAAAGAATACCAAAGATTGCCAAAACAGGCGCTAGGAGAGAAGTAAGAGACAGATTCTGTTTCTGAACCTCCAGGAAAGAAACAACCCTACTGAAACCTTAATTTCAGACTTATGCACTCCAGAACTGTGAGGGAGTAGATTATTTGTTGTAACTGTAAAGTCTGCTATGGCAGCCATAAGAAACAGATACAATTATAATTTTTGATTATTTATACATAATAGAACAAATCAATTATTTCACATCACATAAAGGGGTGGGGTGTTTCAGATCATAAATATCTAAGCTGTAAAATCATCTATTTTTCCAGACTGAGAAAGAGATCAATTTAATGTGCAACTATATGTAATGATTATATAATATTAAATGTGAGGTTACATATCTTCATACTCTTACAGACTTTTATAGATTAGGTGACAATATCCTCCTCATTTTGAAATACACGCAGTAGGCTTCAGTGGTGAAACAACTTGTCCAATATCATATGGCAAGGAATATGATTTCCTTATTTCTAGGCGGATTCCCTACTGAAGGTAAGACTGGGTAATCATGTCCATGATTTAATTTTCTTGATTAATTCATTACCCTTTTTGGGATTGAATTGGCAATCAGAGGTGTTTTTCTTATATTTTTTCCTGAGACACACACTCCTTTAAATCTAAAATTGCTCTCCTTTCATTGTGCTATATTTTATTCTTTTATGTAATAAAAAATAGGATTTGTTTTTAGTTTATCCATGGAGATAAAGAACAGTACCAATAATGAAATACTCTATCACTGAAATACCAAAATCCAATCAAGTGTGCTATTGGAGATGGGCTCTACTATTCCTTTCTCTGCCAGTTACTAATACTTTCAGAGAAGTGGGAATAAGTACAAAATTATGGAAGATGGGGATAGTCATTAGAAAATAAAGATTCCAGAATCTTCTGAAAGAAATCTCCTGATGACCAGGATTTCTATAAATACATGGTAATTTCTGATGTTGTAGTTAAAATAATTGATTGCATTACATTTGTAATTAGTAAAACAAAAGAGAATGTGCAAAAGAAGTGTAGACTTGCTCTTCAATTAGAAAGAATCTGATTAACTCATGCAAATGGGGTGGGTTATAGATGGCTAGTGAATTTTAATATATTGGCTTGTCTGAAAGGGTTGTTTTTGTGGTGGCAGTGGTGTTATGTGGGCCAAAAACTACATGATAGTTGTGTAATATCATACATTAATGTTAACAAACATAATAGTAGTGGAGATGGATTTTCTAGTAGGGCAATTAAAAAACCATCTGTGTATATTAGAATTACAAATCATTAAGCTGATAGTAGCCTTGGAGGGTACCTAGTTAAAATGTCTTTTTTACCAGAAATGCCAAGGAGGCCTGGGGAATTGATAGGCTGGCCAAAGCATTATACAGTCAGCATTAGAAATCAGGTCCTCTGACCTAAAAGCCGGGGCTCTTTTGTTTATAATAGGGATTGAAAATGGGTTTCAACTTGGTGCCAATTTGGACCATTGACAGTAGATGGCTGATCATACTTTCTCTGACTATCTAGTAGTGTCTTCCATGGATGCTGTAATAGGAAAAACTAGACAAGTTTTAGAGATTGTCATCTCTGATCTGCATAAGACTGTGATCCTGGAGATATATATATATATATATATGTCCACACACACACATACATATATTTATATATTTATATTTAGAGACAGGAGCTCACCATGTTGCCCAGGCTGGCTCGCGAGCTCCTGAACTAAGTGACCCTCCCACCTCGGCCTCCTAAAGTGTTGAGACTACAGGCATGAGCTGCCACTCATGGCCCCCGAACACATTGTCACATAGTAGGTATCCCTAGAATGAAATATGAGTTGTACCATATGTATGGGAAAGTGCCTGTTCAAGATGGGGTGTGTGGTGTGTGTGTGTGTGTGTGTGTGTGTGTGTGTGTGTATAGTAAAGGAAGCAATCTTTTGCCCATGGATAAATATTTTCTTCAATTAAAAAACCTCTTAAAGCTCAAGGTCTAGTAAGATTCTCTTTTCCCACATAAGGAACTTCGGAATTTTAAAGTGACAGGGCCAGTGTGTGCTCTCTTTTGCTCCTCTCTAACCTGCAGCTTTGCTGATGTCTCATTTGTGATTAATAAAATTAAAATCCTTTGACTTCACCTTTACTTATCTCTGGTTAAAGTGTCAGTTCTCAGAACATTCTCAAAAAAGGAAAACCACATGTTTCTTCCTTTGGTACCGGCTGACTGCAGGGCTGCCATCCTGCTTTTCATAACACTTTTTCCAGTACGTGGAGATTTACTATTCTGAAAGAACTCAACGGGATTCAGGAATTAGAATTTGCTATTTGACACACTCTCCTATTGAGTTTGGAAAACATTCAGCAAGAACATCTCTTTTATTTTATACATGAGGAGATATGAACAGAGAAGGTGAGTGAACAACCATAAGTCACACAGCAAGCAAATGTTGCAGTCTTCAGTTTTGACTACTATGTTTCTCGCTTTACTCTTTAGACTCATTCCTCAAGGTCAGGGACCCAGGGTAGTGTGCATTTCAGCTTTACCAAAGTTTGGGCAGGCATCTTCAGAGGCACCACACAACTAGGAAGAAATGAGCCATGCTCTTCCTCCTCTGGTCTATGTTCCTTCACAGAAGCTGACTTGAGGCTTCATTACTGGAAAATAAATCCTTGGGAAACAGACTCCTTTAGTCTGGAAATCGGTCTGAAGATTTATGAGACTTGTTGGCCACAGACGGACAAGAATTGTGTGAATTTTTTTTCTTCCTCAGTCGCTGCAGATCAGTGCATTACCTACAAAAATGACAACTAGCAAAAGAAAATAAGGTCTGGAGCAATAAAAAAAAATTCAACTGTCATTAAATGAGAAAACGCTGAAAAATGCAGGGATTTCAGTTTCTTTATAAGTTACACCAAGACTTAGAAAGTTATTGTTTTGCCTCTTGGTAAGCTTACTGAAGAATTCTGTTTAGAAGTTGCTCAGCCAGTAAAGGGATGAGAGTTTTTTTTCTTGCTCCTTTTTTCTCCTTTTTACAATCAATCAGTGTGATAATGGAGCTGTCATTGAAACCAGTTGACAGCTCTGCTGCTTTTTAGCAACAAATTCTTCTGTGCACATTGTTGGCAGCTTTTCTTCAAGATCCCTGTATCTAGGGTATGGATGTAGGCACTTGCTGATGGCCTCAAGGCAAAAGAAACTACAGTTCCATTCAAAGCAGCGATAGTTCTTGAAACCTCTTTGCATCCAAGTGACTAAAAGTTCAGCACTTCAAAAAATATATTCTCAGATTAATAGCTTCTGGAAACTCCACAGAAGTCATGCTCTATATGAGGTTGACAATGCTACCTTTTCTTTTTCTAGCATAATTATTATAACATGGTTATCTGTAAAATTCTTAAAAGGAATTATATGACAAATCTTCCCTATATCTCATTCATTTTTGTAATTCAGTAATCTTTATGACTCTTCTATCAATAGGGTAATGGAATAGGATATTATACTAATTATACAGCTCAAGAGCTCCGGATATCAAATGGAAAAATTTCTTACACAAGATTTGCTCTCAAGGGACTTTGTAGCATCCTCTTCTGTGCTGTAAACATACCAACCTCAATCTCACAATGTCCCTAAGAATAATAAACAAGGTAAAATAGAAAAAAGATTAATAAGAGTTAAGGAAAATTGGTTCTACATAGATTTTATTAAAATTTTTCTATGACTTTCCAGTGGCTCTTTGAAAATGATTTTCCAGTAATAAGTAAAATGTCAGTATGACCTGGATATAGTGAATATCTTGTTTTCTGAAGGTCATTAGCAGTAACAATGCCACTTCTATGGTAGGGCAAGCTTTCAAAGTCTATGCAATGTGCATTCATTTATGAGAGCTCACATTTCTGTATTACTGTGTGTCCAATTTCTGAAAGCATTCTATCTGGAGATGATCTTTCTCTGGCTGAAAGCCTGAATTGAAGTCTCTGGCACTGTTCATTTCAGTGATTTTGGGGAAGAAACAAGGTGCAGCTAAGGTTATGTCTGCGCAAAACCACTCGAATGATCTTTTTCAACAATAGATAAATGGATAGATGAATGAATGAATTTGTTCAGCCAAGCAATCTACTGATGCAATACATTTATTTTAAAATATACTATGCCATCTTTTATTAAATCTAATACATAGTCATTGGACAATATAGCAAGAGAAAAGATACAATTTATCCACAACCTTGTTATTCAGAGATAACCATTATAGTATTTTGATATATTTTATTTCACTTTTTAATATGCGTATTTTAATATTTAAAAATTCAGTTTTACATTGGTTTATTTAATATCATGTTAATGATACTTCCTCCATGCAATTAAGCATTCTCTGGCTTCCTGCCCCCCCCCCCCCATTTTATCATAATTTATTTAAATATTTTTGTAGAGTTATTTGGGTTATTTCCAATTTTTAATATTAGTGGTGCTGAAATAACATCCATATGTGTGTGCGTGTGTGTGTGTGTAATCTCACTGATCATGCTTTTAAGAATTCAAGAGAAAGGAGCAAAACCAACAAGCACATTGATTTTGTATGAGACGTTGTCAAATTGTCTTCCAGTGAGATCATACCAATTTATACTCCCATGAGCAGTGAGTCCCTGTCTCCTCATAACTTCACTAACTTTGAATCCCACTATGTATTTGAAAAGCCGATTTTATATGTAAAACAGTACAGAAGAAGTGGCCTAGTGTTTATTCCTGTGGCATGTGGTTTGGGTGAAGGTAGTGATCAGGGAAGTCTTCAATAGACAGCTGACATTCAAACTGAGTCTTGAAGAGAAAAAGGGAATCTCTGGCTACATAAGGGGTAAGGAACAGAGGCTGGGAATCCAAGTGGTGTGTGCAAAGTGAGGTCAGGAGAAAGCACTGGCTTTGGGGCATGTGAATCAGATTGCATGGGTTCTTGGTTGAATGGAAGACAGTGGAAAGGGATGATGTAGAGACATTAGAGAATAAAGGGCCATTTGTTTTATTACAAGGCTTTCAGTCTTATAGATCAGAGATTCTTCTGAGGCTTTCCTAAGACCTCTAGGCATTAGAATTACCCGTGGCTTTGGAAAGAAGCTCCTTTGGGTTAGGCTCTACTTTTTCTTTTAAACTCCTGCATCACTTAATTTATGCCTCTTTTTGAAGTATGTGCTATGACTTACCTGTTTTCATCTCTCACCTCTATTTACTATGTGTCTTTCTTCTTGGAGTCATCATCAAAATCTTATCAATCACCTGACTCTTATTGAGCATGGGGGCTGGTTGCTGGGGGCCTAGAGCAGTGGACTTGTGTGTAAGGGGCTGCAGCAAAGGGAGATCAGGCACGGAGGGAGGCTCTGTGGGAACACACTTAACATGTCTGAGGACAAGGAGGGCCCACTAGTGTCTGGTTTACCATATGCCCAGCAGTTGTACACGTAGAGCCGGATAGGCCTAGGTAAGCATTGCTGTCAGGAATGCACTAATGAACAGGGATTTTGAAAAAAATAATTATTTTAGGTTCAAGGGTGCATGTGCAGGTTTGTTACATTGGTGAGTTGAATGTCATGAGGATTTGGTATACAGATTATTTCATCACCCAGGTAATCGTAGCACCCAATGTGTGGTTTTTTTGATCCTCACCCTCCTCCCACCCTCTACCCTCAAGTAGGCCCCAGGGTCTGTTATTCCGTTATTTGTGTCCATGGGCACTCAGTGTTTAGTTCCCACTTATAAGCGAGAGCATGTAGTATTTGGTTTTCTGTTCCTGGGTTAGTTTGCTTAGGATAATGGCCTCATGGAAGGATGTTAAGCAGAGAAGTAAAATGGGATGTATTTTTTTTGGTTTAGAAAAAGACCTAACAATAATATGAAGATTAAGTTTATGAAGAACAAATCTGAAGGTAGGGAGAATAGTTAGGAAGTCATCTTACTAGAATGAGAGAGAGAAGAAAGCTTGAACTATGACAGAGCAGGAAATGGAGAGAAGTGACATAAAAAGCTTTAAGGCATTTGTGACAGGTGTGTCCGTGTGTATCTGTGTGTGTGTGTGTGTGTGTGCAGCTTTGTGTGTATCTGTGTCTGTGTATGTGTGTAGCTGTATGTGTGTGTATGTAGCTCTGTGTGGTATGTGTGCCTGTAGCTCTGCATGTATGTGTACATGTGTGTATCTGTGTCTGTATCTCTGTGTGTCTCTGTGTCTACGTATGTCTGTGTCTGTAGCTCCATATGTGTATATCTGTGTGTATGTGTGTGTTTGTAGTTCTGTGTATCTGTGTTGCATATGTGTGTCAGTCTCTAGCTCCATGTGTTTGCGTCTATGTATTGTGTCTCTGTATCTGTGTCTGCATGTGTGCACATATGTATCTCTGGTGTGTGTGCTTGTGTATATCTGTATGTGTGTGTCTCTGTGTGAGAGGAGTGGTTAGATAGAAGATGTTTTAGTCGCTGGCTTGAATGGGTAGGCTAAGTCTAATAGATTGATAAGGGAACACCGCAAGAGGAAGAGGTGTAATGGGAAAGATAATGAGTGGTGATTGTGTGGATGTGAGGTGCCTCTAAGTCACTGTGAGACATCTAGGTGAAGAGGTCCACAGTTGTTTCTGTCTAGTAAATGTCTCTTGTTGTTGTTCGTCTTAATCTAAGCATGTGAAATTTATATTACTCAGAGATGGTGGTAAAACTTCTTTTACAAGATACATATCAGGAACTAAACCATTAATCCATTTTTATTTTTTTCTGACTTACATTACAGCCATATGATTAAAACATATGATTATTTGGACAATTTATTAACCAAATCTGGATAAGATGTGGGCAAAAATTAACGTAAAATTATTTCCTCTTCAACAGTTATTTGTTTATCTAGGATTTTTTTCTTAGGTTTTTAACCTAAGAAACTGGAATAACTATTCCAAGGATAAAAAATTCTTTGTATTTTTATTTCTGGCAACTATTTTTATACTATACATATGAACATTTCAAATTTCTACACAGGTAAAATTCAAAAAACAAATTAATTTTATGATTTCAGATAAATTGATGTGAAAATTCAATAGATAAAGATTAGAAAAAATACAAGCTTCATTGTTTCATATTGTCTTAAATACTATACAGCTAGAAACTACAAGTTGCCTTTTAGAAAAATGTACTATTATAATTTTCATATAGGTTTTAAAATAGTTTCAATAAAATAATTTAGAAAATATAACTTATGTTTAAATATTTTTAATAGTAACTACTTTGATATTTAATTATCTAGGAACATGACTCTGGGTTCAGAAAAGCATAAGTTGTGGTTATGACAATTTGACATTTTAAAACAACAAAGACAGGCAATATTTTAGCTGTGTTTTAGGCTAAGCTAGTCAAAGGTAGAAGTTAAATCTGTGTTAATTCTGGGGCTTAGATTCAAAATCTTCAATAAAGAATTTAATGAAAGATGAGTTGATGGTATTTTGCAATAAGATTTAATGCATCTAGCATATTCTCTTAATTTATTTAGAACAAAAGTACTTTACATAATGTAAACAGTCTCTCTGCTGTGTCTAATGCATTCAGGACACAGGAGTTAATTAGTAACTATGGTAACTCTTAGGCCTCCAAAGTCAAAATCTGGTGGAAATTCTTAGCTGACAATAGATAGCTCCATAATGTGCTTTCAGCTTTCATGAAAAATAATAAGCTAATAAGCTTTCTAAAGAAGATGGTGTTTGGGGATTGAAGATATGATACTGAATTGACATAGACTTTTTTTTTTTTTTTTAAATCTTTTTCTTCCTAAAATCTCCATATGAGCAGGCATATGGGTCCAGATAAATGTTTCTCACTGAGGTGTTAAAAGTGGAAAAACAGATAATGAAGATCAAAATGAAAGAGGTGTTTTGGGACAGTTACCTAATAACATAGTGTCATAGTGTTTTGTTGCTTTGAGAAGCCCTTTATCCTTGCATAGATCATAAAATAGGATTCTTTCTCAAATAGTTTAAGTATTAGATTTACAGGTGTTTAAAAAAATTTTCCCCCACAAAATTCGGATCAAGGAAAAAACATCCTTTTAAAGGTTTGTTTTATTTTGAGACGGAGTCTCACTCTGTTGCCCAGGCTGAAGTGCAGTGGCGTGATCTCGGCTCACTGCAACATCTGCCTCCTGGGTTCAAGCGATTCTCCTGCCTCAGCCTCCTGAGTAGCTGGGATTACAGGTGCCTGCTACCATGCCCAGATAATTTTTGCATTTTTAGTAGAGACAGGGTTTCACCATGTTGGCCAGGCTGGTCTCGAACTCCTGGCCTCAGGTGATCTGCCTGCCTCGGCCTCCCAAAGTGCTGAGATTACAGGCGTGAACCACTGCACCCAGCCCCTGTTTCCCTTTTATAGCCACATCTACCTATTTCCCACATCTAATCCTTTCTTAACCACTAGCAAACACTAATCTGTTGTCAATTTCCATCATTTTCCACTTCAAGAATGTTATAAAAATCTTACATGATTCAAGAATCATATAATATTTAAACTTTTGGGATGGGCTTTTTTCCCCACACAGCATAATTTTCCAAACATTAATCCAGGTTACTACATGTATTAGTAATTACTTCCATTTTATTGCTAAACGTTATTCCATGGTATAGATGTACCATCGTTTAATTATCCATTGAGGGACATCTGGGTTGTTTCCAGTTTGGGGCTATTAGAAATAATGCTGATATAAATATCTGTGTCTAGGTTTTTATGTGAACATAAGTTATCATTTCTCTGGGATAAATGCCTAGGAGTGCAATTGCTTGGTTGTGTGATATCACTTGCTTAGTTTTTAACAAACTGCCAAACTGTTTTCCAGAGGGACTGTACTATTTTACATTCTTACCAACAATTTATGTATTTCTCCATTGCCTTGCAAGCATTTGTTTTTGTCATTATTTTTCATTGTAGTCACTCTAGTAGTGTGTATTGGTATCAAATTAGAATTTTAATTTGCATTCCCCTAATGGCCAGTGATATTGAACATCTTTCAGTGTGTTTTCTATCTGTATATATTCAGTAAATATAACTTCATGTCTTCTGCCCACATTCTAACAATTTCTTAAAATTGTTGAGTTTTCAGAATTCTTTATATACTCTAGATGCGAATCCTTTGTCAAATATGTGGTTTGCAAATATTTTCTCGTAGCCTGTAGCTTGTCATTTTGTCTCAACAGGTTCTTTTTTAGAGAAAAAGCTTTTCATGTTGACAAAGTCCAGTTTATTAGATCGTGGTTCTGTTTTCAAAAGAGTTTAAGAATGCTTTGCTTAGCCTAGATCCCAAAGATTTTATCCTGTGTTTTCATCTTAAAGTTTTATATTTGTTTGTAGGCTATTTTGAGTTAATTTGTGTATGAGATGTGAGACTTAGGCAAAGATTTGATTTTTATGTCTCTGAATAGCCAATTGCTAAAGCATCATTTTTTGAAAAGGCTACATTTTCTCCCTTGAATTGTATTTGTGGATTTGTCAAAAATAAGTCATACATATTTGATGGTGGTATTTATGGGTTTTTATTCTGTTCCGCTGGTCTATGTGTCTCTTTTTCTGCCAATGCCACATAATCTTTCAATTGCTATAATGGTATAGGAAATCTTTAAATCTGACACACTGATTTTTCCCACTTTATCCTTTTTCACATTTGTTTTAGCTATTCTTGTTCCTCTATTTTTCCACATAAATTTTTAATTTTGTCTATTTCTACAAAAATGTTACTGTCATTTATATATGAATTGCCTAAAGCTTGTTTATCAATTTAGAAAGAAAATATTTTTTATATTAAGTCTTAACAATCCACGAACATGGTAAGCCTCTCCATTTTAGACTATAATAGCTTTCATCAATGCAGTGTAATTATTAGCATGTAAACAGTCTACATTTTTATTAGTTACAACTAAGTATTTAATTTTTAAATTACTACTTGGCAGTACGTTTTTAACTTTTGTGTCCATGTGTTTATACTAGTATACTGAAATTTCATTGATTTTTGTATGTTTATTTCATCTCCTGTGATCTTATTAAACTTACTAATTCTAGAAGTTTTTCGTTGGTATCTTTTATGGAGGCAATTGTTATCTGCAAATAAAGTCAGTTTTATCTTTTTTTTTTTTTCCAATTGGTATACCTTTCATTTCCTTTTCTTGCCTTACTGGGCTGTCTAGAGCTTAGAACACTATTTTTTTTTGCATATAACTATTTTTGTTTTGAAATTTTTAATTTTATTTTTTTATTTCAATAGGTTTTTGGGGAACAGGTGGTGTTTAGTTACGTGAATACGTTCTTTAGTGGTGAATTCTGAGATTTTGGTGCATCCATCACGCAAGCAGACTACACTATACCCAGTGTGTAGTCTTCTATCCCTCGCCACCCTGCACACTTTCCCCCAAGTCCCCAAAGTCCAATGTGTCATTCTTATGCCTTTGCATCCCCGTAGCTTAGCTCCCACATATCAGTGAGAACGTGTGATGTTTGGTTTTCGATTCCTGCATTACTTCACTTAGAATAATAGTCTCCAATTCTATCCAGGTTGCTGTGAATGCCATTATTTCATTCTTTTTTAATGGCCGAGTCATATTCCATGGTATGCATATACCACATTTTCTTTATCCACTCATTATTTGATGGGGATTTGGGCTAGTTTCATGTTTGCAATTACAAATCATGCTGCTATAAACATGCCTGTGCAAGTATCTTTTTCGTGTAATGACTTATTTTCCTATGGGTAGATACCCAAGAGTGACATTGCTATATCAAATTGTAGATCTACTTTTAGTTTTTTAAGGAATCTCCACACTGTTTTTCATAGTGGTTGTACTAGTTTACATTCCCACTGACAATTTAAAAGTGTTCCCTTTTCACCTCATCCAAGCCAACATCTATTTTTTTTAATTTTTTTTTATTATGAGAATTCTTGCAGGAATGAGGTGGTATTGCATCACGGTTTTGATTCGCATTCCCTGGTAATTAATGATGTTGAGCAATTGATTCGCGTTCCCTGATAATTAATGATGTTAATGGTGTCCTTAACCCACTTTTTGATGGGATTGTTTGTTTTTTCTTGCTGATTTGAGTTCTTTGGAGCTTCTGGATATTAGCCTTTTGTTGGATACATAGATTGTGAGCATTTTCTCCCACTCTGTGGGTCATCTAACTCTGCTGATTTCTTTTGCTGTGGGAGAGCTTTTTAGATTAAGTTTCATCTGTTTGTTTTTGTTGCATTTGCTTTTGGATTAGTGGTCATGAAGTCTTTGCCTAAGTCAATGTCTAAAAGGATTTTTCTGATATTATCTTCTGGAATCTTTATGGTTTCAGGTCTTATATTTAAGTCTTCGATCAATTTTGAGTTGATTTTTGTATAAGATGAGAGACGAGGATCCAGTTTCATTCTTCTACAGGTGGCTTGCCAATTATCCCAGCATCTTTTGTTGAATAGGGTGTCATTTCCCCACTTCATGTTTTTGTTTGCTTTGTCAAAGATCAGTTGGCTGTAAGTATTTCTGGGTTCTCTACTCTGTTCCATTGGTCTATGTGCCTATTTTTATACTAGAGCCATGCTGTTTGGGTGATTGTGGCCTTACAGTATAGTTTGAGGTCAGGGAATGTGTTGTCTCCAGAGTTGTTCTTTTTGCTTAGTCTTGCTTTGGCTATGTGGGTTCTTTTTTGGTTCCATATGAATTTTAGGATTTTTTTTAGTTCTGTGAAAAATGATGGTGGTGTGTTGATGAGAATTGCATTGAATTTGTAGATTGCTTTTGGCAGTATGGTCATTTTCACAGTACTGATTCTACCCATCCATGAGCATAGAATGTGTTTCCATTTGTTTGTGTTGTCTGTGACTTCTTTCAGTAGTGTTTTGTAGTTTTCCGCATAGTGGTTCTTCACATCCTTAGTTAAGTATATTCCTAAGTATTTTACTTTATTTTTTTGTATCTATTGTGGAAGGGACTGAGTTCTTGATTTGATTTGCAGCTTCATTGCTTTTGGTGTATAGCAGAGCTACTGATTTGTGTACATTAATTTTGTATCCAGAAACTTTGCTGAATTCATTTACTAGTTCTAGGAGCTTTTTGGATGAGTCTTTAGGATTTTTTAGGTATATGATCATAACATCAGCAAACAGTGAGTTTGACTACCTCTTTAGCAATTTGGATGCCCTTTATTTCTTTCTCTTCCATAATTGCTCTGGCTAGGACTCCCAGTATAGTATGTTGAATAGAAGTAGTGAGAGTGGGCATCCTTGTATTGTTCCAGTTTTCAGGGGCAATGCTTTCAACTTCTCCCCATTCAGTATAATGTTGGCTGTGGGTTTGTCATAGATGACTTGTATTATGTTAAGGTATGCCCCTTCTATGCCAAGTTTGCTGAGGGTTTTAATCATGTAGGGATGCTGGATATTGTCAAATGCTTTTTCTGTGTCTATTGAGATGACTGTAATTTTTGTTTTTAATTCTGTTTATGCAGTCTATGACAATTACTGACTTACATATGTTAAACCATGCCTGCATCCCTGGTATGAAACACACTTGATCACGGTGGCTTATCTTTCTTGATATGCTGTTGGATTCAGTTTTCTAGTATTTTGCTGAGGAGTTTTGCATCTATGTTCATCAGGGGTATTGGTCTGTAGCTTTGTTTTTTTCTTTCTTTTTTTTTTTTTTTGAGACAGAGTCTCACTGTGTCACCCAGGCTGGAGTGCAGTGGCGTGATCTCAGCTCACTGCAACCTCTGCCTCCCTGGTTCAAGTGATTCTCCTGCCTCAGCCTCCCAAGTAGCTGGGACTACAGGCACCTGCCACCAGGCCTAGCAAATTTTTTTTTTGTACTTTAGTGGAGACGGGGTTTCACTATGTTGGCCAGGCTGGTCTTGAACTCCTGACCTTGTGATCCGCCCACCTTGGCCTCCCAAAGTGCTGGGATTACAGGCATGAGCTACTGCACCCAGCCTAGTTTTCTTCACTTGTTATGTCATTCTCTGGTTTTGGTATTAGGGTGATACTAGCTTCATAGAATGATTTAGGGAGGATTTCCTCTTTATCTTGTGGAATGGTGTCAGTAGGATTGGTACCAATTCTTTTTTGAATGACTGATAGAATTCAACTGTGAATCTATCTGGTCCTGGTCTTTTTTTGTTGCTGGTAATTTTTGAATTAACATTTCAATCTCACTGCTTGTTATTGGTCTGTTCAGAGATTCTATATCTTCCTGGTTTAATCTAGAAGGGTTGTATATTCCCAGGAATTTATCCATCTCCTTTAGGTTTTCTAGTTTTTGCACTTGAAGGTGTTTGTAGTATCCTTGAATAATCTTTTGTATTTCTGTGGTATCAGTAGTAATGGCTCCCATTTCATTTCTATTTGAGCTTATTTGGATCTTTTCTCCTTTCCTGGTTATTCTTGATTATAGTCTATAAATTTTATTTATTTTTTTCAGAGAACTAGCTTTTTGATTCATTTCTTTTGTATGTTTTTAATTTCATTTAGTTCTGCTCTGATTGTCATTCTTTTTTTCTTATGCTGGGTTTTGATTGCTCTTGTTTCTCCAGTTCTGTGAGGTGTGACCTTAGATTGTCTATTTGTGCCTACTTTTTGATGTAGGCATTTAATGCAGTTAACTTTCCTCTTGGCACCGCTTTTGATATATCCTAGAGGTTTTGATAAGTTGTGTCACTATTATCATTCAGTTCAAGTAATTTTTAAATTTCTGTCTTGATTTCATTGTTGACCCAACAATTATTCAGGAACAGGCATTTAATTTCCATGTATTTGCATGTTTTTGAGGGTTTCTTTTGGAATTGATGTCCAATTTTATTCCACTGTGGTCTGAGAGAGTACTGGATATAATTTTAATTTTCTTAAATTTACTGAGACTCATTTTGTGGCCTATCATATGGCCTGTCTTAGAGAGTGTTCCATGTGCTGATGAATAGAATGTATATTCTGCAGTTGTTGGGTAGAATGTTTCGTAAATAAATCTTCATTCCATTTGTTGTAGGGTATAGCTTAGGTTCATTGTTTCTTTATTGACTTTCTTTCTTGATGATGTGTTTAGTGCTGTCAGTGGAGTATTAAAATCCCCCGCTATTATTGTGTTGCTGTCTCTCTCATTGCTTAGGCCCAGTAGTAACTGCTTTATAAATTTGAAAGCTTCAGTGTTAGGGGCATACATACTTAGAACTGTGATATTTTCCTGTTGGACTAGTCCTTTTGTCATTATATAATATCCCTCTTTGTCTTTTTAAACCGCTGTTGCTTTGAAGTTTTGTCTGATACAAGAATAGCTACTCCTGCTCACTTTCTGTGTCCATTTGCATGGAATATCTTTTCCACCCCTTTACCTTAAGCTTATGTGAGTCCTTATGTGTTAAGTGAGTCTCCTAAAGACAGCAGAAACTTGGTTGGTGAGTTTTTATCAATTCTGCCATTAAGCATCTTTTAAGTGGAGTGTTTAGGCCATTTACATTCAATGTGAGTATTGAGATGTGAGGTACTATTCTATTCATTGTGCTATTTGTTGCCTGAATACCTTTTTTTCCATTGTGTTATTGATTTATAGGTCCTGTGAGATGTATGCTTTAAGGAGGTTCTATTTTGGTATATTTCAAGGATTTCTTTCAAGATTTAGAGCTCCTTTTAGCAGTGTTGGTAGTATTGGCTTGGTAGTTGTGAATTCTTTCAGTATTTGTCTGTCTGGAAAAGACTATCTTTTCTTGACTTATGAAGCTTAGTTTCACTGTATACAAAATTCTTGGCTGGTAATTGTTTAAGGAGGCTAAAAATAAGTCCCCAGTCTCTTCTATCTTGTGGGGTTTCTGCTGAGAACTCTGTTACTCTGATAGGTTTCTCTTTATAGTTTACCTCTACCTTTTGCCTCACAGCTCTTAAGATTCTTTCCTTCATCTTGACTTTAGATAACCTGATGACTATGTGCCTAGGCAATGATCTTTATGTGATGAATTCCCAGGTGTTCTTTGAGCTTCTTGTATTTGGAGATCTAGATCTCTAGCAAGTCCAGATAAGTTTTCCTTGATTATATTCTCAAATATGTTTTCTGAACTTTTAGATTTATCTTCTTCCTCAGGAACACCATTCTTAGGTTTGGACATTTTAAAATAGTCCCAAACATCTTGGAGGCTTTATTTTTTTTGAAATTCTTTCCTTTTTGTCTTTGACAGATTGGGTTAATTTGAAAACCTTCTCTTTGAGCTCTGAAGTACTTTCTTCTGCTTGTTCAATTCTATTGCTGAGACTTTCCAGTGGATTTTGCATTTCTCTAAGTGTGTCCTTGATTTCCAGAAGTTATGATTGTTTTTTATTCTATTTTACTGAAGCATTTTCCTTTCATATCCTGTATCATGTTTTTGATTCTTTAATTTGAACTTTACCTTTCTCTAGTGACTACTTGATTAGCTTAATAATTGACCTTCTGAATTCTTTTTCTGGCAATTCAGAGATTTTGTCTTGATTTTGATCCATTGCTGGTGAGCTAGTACGATCTTTTGGGGATGTTAAAGAACCTTGTTTTGTCATATTACCAGAGTTGTTTTTCTGGTTCATTCTCACTTGGGTAGACTATGTCAGAGGGAAGATCTGGAATTCAAGGGCTGCTGTTAGGATTCTTTTGTCCCACAGGGTCCTTCCTTGATGCAATGTTCTCCGTTTTCCTCTAGGAATGGGGTTTCCTGAGAGCTGAACTGTAGTGATTGTTTATGCTCTTCTGGGTCTAGCCACCCAGCAGAACTACTGGGCTCTGAGCTGGTACTGGGAAGGGTCTGCAAGGAGTCCTGTGATGTGATCTGTCTTCAGGTCTTGCAGCTGTGGATACCAGCACCTGCTCTGGTGGAGGTAGCAGGGGAGTGAAGTGGACCCTGTGAAGGTCTTTGGTTGTTTTTTGTCTAGTGCACTGGTTTTGTGTTGGTTGCCCTCTAGCCAGGAGGTGGTGCTTTCAAGAGTGCATCAGTTACGGTCCTGTAAGGAGAATGCAAACTTGCTCTAGGGATACCTGGTTAAGCATTCAGGTTTCTCAGGCAGGGCCATAGAGCTCCCAAGACATTATGACCTTTGTCGTCAGCTATCAGGGCGGGTTGAGAAAGACCATCAGGTGGGAACAGGGATAGGGGTGTCCGAGCTCAGCCGCTTCATGAGCTGGACTTGTTGTGGCTGCTGTGGAGGATGGGAATGTGGTTCCCAGTCTATTAGAGTTATATTCCCAGGGAGATTATGGTTGCCTCTGCTGAGTCATACAGGTAGCCAGGAAAATGGGGGAATTCCAGCAGTCACAGGCCTCACCCCACTCCCACCCAGCCTGCAGTCCTAGAGGAACTCCCACTGTGCCCCCACAACAGCACTGAGTCTATTTCCAGGCAACTGGTGCCCAGAGTTGAGAACTTACCCCAGACCATGAACCTCCCCATTGAGAAAACAAGCAAATTCAGTTTTTTGGCATCTCAAGGAACTGTACTGGTGATCCACTTCCTTCAAAGGGTCTGTGGATTCTCTTAGCTTTCCTGGTGTATGTTCCTGTGGTAGTTCTTGGAGCCAAAGTTCACTATATGAGTCTCCACATGCTGTTCTGTTCATCCGAGTGGGAGCTGCAAGCTAGTACTGCCTCCTATCTGCCATCTTAATCTCCTTCCCTTTCAGCACTATTGAATAAGTGTGATGAGAATGGACATCCTTGCTTTATTCTCTATTTGGGTAAGGGCTTAAGTTTTTCCTCATTAAGAATAATGTTATTGGCCAGGCGGGGTGGCTCATGCCTGTCATCTCAGAACTTTGGGAGGCTGAGACGGGCAGATCACCTGAGGTTAGGAGTTCGAGACCAGCCTGGCCAACATGGCGAAACCCCATCTCTACTAAAAATACAAAAATTAGTCGGGTGTGGTGGTACATGCCTGAATCCCAGCTACTGGGGAGGCTGAGGCAGGAGAATCACTTGAACCCAGGGGAGGAGAGATTGCAGTGAGACAAAATAGCACCGCTGCACTCCAGCCTGGGTGACAGAGCAAGACTCTATCTCAAAAAAAAAAAAAAAAAAAAAAAGAATAATGTTACTATTAGATGTTTTTTTTTTTCTTTTGGAAGTGATCTTTATCAAGCTAAGGGTGTTTCCGTTTTTTGAGAGTTTTTATCATGAATAAGTGCTGAATTTTATTAAATGCCTTTTCTGTATTGATCAATCTCATGAATTTTACCCTTTATTTTGTTAATATAGTGGATTTCACTGATTTGTTTCAAATATTAAGCTAACCTTACATGTCTGGAATAAACCACTCTTAGCTCTAGTGTATATTTTTCTATATATATGTTACAAAGTCTATTTGATATTTTTTGGTTAAAAATATTGCGCCTATATTCTTGAAGGCTATTGGTTTATCATTTTCACTTTTTGTATTTTGTCTCATTATGGGGTACAGAAATTCTAGGTTCATATAATGAACTGGGGAGTATTCCCTCTTCTATGTGGAAGAGATTGTGTAGAATTAGTGTTATGCTTTACAAAGAAGTATCCAGTGAAACCATCTGGGCTTGGTAGTGTCTTTTTTAGGAGTTTCAAAATTATTTATGTAATTTCCTTATTAGTTATAGGGCTATTGAAATGAACTATTTTATATTAAGTAAATTGTGATAGTTTGTGTTTGAGGAATTGGTTCATTACATCTAAGATATCAAATTTATATAGAGAGAGTTATTGGTATTTTTACTATTCCTTTGTAGTCTCTTGTGTCTATAGTGATAGCTCCTGTTTCACTCCCAATTTTTGTAATTTATGTTTTGTTTTCAGTCTTGCTAGAAGTTTGATACTTTTACAGATTTTTTTTTGTTGTTGTTCCTTCGGTCCCAAGTTCTATAGCCAGTCAGGCTTTCTTTTCTCCAACTTTGAGGGTTTTTCAAAAATGTTAGTTTTATATATATCATGTCTAAAGTTTTAGTTGTACCTAGTGGGATAAATAAGGAAAATATATCTATTTCATTTTTCCAGAAGTGAAATGTCAAATTTTATTTTGTGATGAATTTCTAACTCTCTCAAGTATTGCAAGATTCTGATGGTTCTCCCTTTTGTCATTGAAGCCAGGATAAACATTCAGTTTTCATAATTCAGTAAAGGGAAGCCATTGGAGAGAGTACTTTTTCTCCGTCTTTGTATGATTGTGGTAGCAGTTATGAGTTCCAAACCAAACTCTCGGAACTGGGCAGTGACAACTACCTGAAATCATGGCGTGACTTCAGAAAGACATTTGGCCTTCTTCATAGATCAGATGTAAAGGATTATATGGCATCATCCCCATTGGGCTAAGCAGTTAAAGCCTCAGAATTGAAGGGACTCAGAGGCTAAATGGAAAGATTTCTCTGTACACTAACCCTAATTCTACCAAGCTATGTCAAGAAGCATTTTTTTGTTGTTGTTTTTAGTGATAAAGTGGTAAATTTCCCTAAGTTTTAAAAATTGGAACATTAGCGACATTTAATAGTGAAGTAAATGATTGAGAGAAAAGGGGAATAGGGTGAAAAATTAGAAGGGAGATTCAGAAGAAAAAGCGAGAAGATAAAGAGTAGCCTTGGCAAAAATGATGTCTGATTAATTGGAAAGCTCAAAGGGAGTGTAAGTGAAATAGGAGTGGGAGACTCACGCACACGGTAAGACAGGATATGGGTGGTGACAAGTGGTGAGGTAGGATACCACCTCCACAGAGGAGCTGCTCCAGTGGACAAGAGACATCTTAGAGGGATGGAAGTCAGGAGGACAGAATTAGGGTCTCTAGCAAAGAATGTCAGAAATGACATTAGTTCGGCACATACACAGGATATCTGAGGAAACTGAGAGAAGGCCTATTAGGCAAATGAACAATAACGATAACAAAAACCCAAAGTATTTTGAAATGAGGTCATTAAAGTTGATTGAAGAAGACATTTGGGATTACAAGAAGGGGAAGATGACAGTTTCAAAGTAACTTAAAAGCACGAGGCTGGCCTGGGGCTCACCCCTGTAATCCCAGCACTTTGGGAGGCTGAGGCGGGTGGATTACCTGAGGTCAGAAGTTCGAGACCAGCCATGGTGAAACCCCGTCTCTACTAAAAATACAAAAAAATTAGCCGGACATGGTGGTGGGCACCTGTAATCCTAGCTACTCCGGAGGCTGAGGCAGGAGAATCACTTGAACCTGGGAGGCAGAAGTTGCAGTGAGCCGAGATCACACTGTTGAACTCCAGCCTGGGCAACAAGAGTGAAACTCCATCTTGGGGAAAAAAAAAATAAAAAGGCACAAGGCTTCAGAAAACCAGGAATTAGGGTAAAACAAACTTCATAAAAGACAGAAACAAGTTCTTTTACATTGAGTGAATCTGAGTTTATGTATAAATATACATCTAAGATGCTCTAGAGGATGCACAAATGCCATCGCGTCCTATTCAAAAAGCTGTATAATGAGATAAGTACATAATAATTATAAAACATAACAGAATATAAAAGTGCCATAGAATAAGAGGAGAGAGAATCAAAAGAAGAGCGAAAGTCAACCCAAATGGAAGGAATTTATGAAGAAAAGCATGCTGGCGACAGGTCCTAAATCATGACTGGACTATGAATAGGAGAGAATGGGAAAGAGGCATTATAGGCAGGGAATAAGTATGTGCAAAGGCACAGAGGCAGGAGGTTTGGGGATGTTTAGTTAGTGGTAGTCAACCAGGGAAAGGTGTTATGTACATGGGAGGTAGTCTAAGAGGGAACTTTGGCGCCACTTGGTAGATGTCCTTGAATGTCAACACCCTACATAGAAGCCAAGGGGCCTTCCTGGAACCCAAGTTTGATCTGGTCTTCACCAGTTAAAAGACTTAATCCACTTCCCCATTGCAGTTAGGATAATTTGAAAACTCTGTATTGGGACCCACAGGACCCTGCCTCTTGCCTCTGTCTTCTTTTAAAATTTGCCTGTGCTTCTGTTTCTGCTCATCACATTCTGATCCAGTTGGCTTTCTTGACATTTCTTTTTTAAAAAAATAAGTTCAGGGGTACATGTGCAGGTTTGTTATATAGGTAAACTTGTGTCATGGGGGTTTGGTGTACAGATTATTTCATCACCCAGGCATTAAGCCTAGTACCCACTAGTGATTTTTCCTGATCTTTTCCCTCTTCCACCCTCTGATAGGCCCTAGTGTGTGTTCCTCTCTGTGCGTTCATGTGTTCTTATCATTTAGCTTCCACTTAAAAATGAGGACATGCGGTATTGGTTTTTTTGTTTCTGTTACTTTACTAAGGATAATGGCTTCCAGCTTCATCCATGTTCCTGCAAAGGACATGATCTCATCCTTTTTTATGGCTGCATAGTATTCCATGGTGTATATGTGCCACATTTTCTTTATCCAGTCTATTATTGTTGGGCATTTAGGTTGATTCTATGTTTTGGCTATCGTAAATAATGCTGCAGTGAACATACCCATGCATGTGTCTTTATAATAGAACATTTTATGTCTTGGGAAGCTTCCCTTCTTTTCTAATCTTACAACTGTCTTATTTACCCCCTCAAGTGTATGCATAAATGTCACGTCCTCAAGAAAGCATTCCCTGACTCAAGGAAACCTGAATCAAGGCTAGGTTTCCTGCATCTCATATTCCCATTGTTCCTTTAATGTTTCTTTTAATACCAATTAAATATGCTCTTTAAGAAAACATTTTTTTTTGTTTTATTGTCTTTCTGATATGTTTCTCTCCCACTGGATCCATAAAAGAAAACCCTGTGTCTGTTTTGATTTTTTGTCTTCTTCATGGTTGTACCCTCTACTCCTAGCCAGGCACACAGTTGGCCCTCAATAAAAATTAATTGAATAAGTGAATGCCAGATTAAATACATGTTCTCACTGAAATAAGTGCTGAATAAACACTGAAAACATTTGAATGAGAATAAAAGAAAGTTGAAAGATGGTTTGTAACATAAAAATACAAGCATGTCAAGAGACAGGCATGAGATTACAATCGTAGATCTTCCCAGTTTTGTGCTATCTCCATCCTTTTCTCATTGGCCGTTTGTCCTTTCTACTTAACACCCAGAGGTTACTGTGCCCTCCTCTTGATCTTGGCCCCACACTTCTATTTATCCTGGTTTATTGTTTCTCACATTGAGATCCAAAGACAGGTATATCTGTAGGTATATTCTTGGATGTTGATATGTTTTATGAGAATTTGAAAATTTGAACTCCATTGTGATATTAATCTCAGTTATTTTGCCATTCCAAAACATAAAACTTCTAATTTTTTTTGCTGAGATAATTAAAAATTTACAAGACATTGTCCTCGAATGGGGCTTACAGTCCTTACACCAGCATCTCACAAACTAAAATGCATAGATTTTTCTTTTGTCTTTTTCTTTTTTCTTCCCTTTGCTTGGGTCTATAGGTGACTCAAATTTTGAGAAACATTTGTCTGGACAGCAGCTAAGCTGAACAGTGAGATAGAAATGAGACAGCGTATGGAAGGAAGCGGCTAACTATGGCGACTGCCACGGAGCAGTGGGTTCTGGTGGAGATGGTACAGGCGCTTTACGAGGCTCCTGCTTACCATCTTATTTTGGAAGGGATTCTGATACTCTGGATAATCAGACTTCTTTAAGACTTACAAATTACAAGAAAGATCTGACCTTACAGTCAAGGAAAAAGAAGAACTGATTGAAGAGTGGCAACCAGAACCTCTTGTTCCTCCTGTCCCAAAAGACCATCATGCTCTCAACTACAACATCGTTTCAGGATGGAGTCTTGCTCTGTCACCAGGCTGGAGTGCAGTGGTGTGATCTCGGCTCACTACAACCTCCACCTCCTGGGTTCAAGCCATTCTCCTGCCTCAGCCTCCCGAGTAGCTGGGACTACAGGCACAAGCCACTGTGCCCGCCTAATTTTTGTATTTTCAGTAGAGACGGAGTTTCACCATGTTGGCCAGAATGGTCTCGATCTCCTTTTTTTAACTAAAAAGTAAACTTTAATGTCGAAAATGCAAACTTGGGGAGGGCAGAAAGATCACACACAAGGCCGTCACTTCACACTTGGAAGGTTGCACAGCAGCTGGGCAGAGACGCTCCTCACTTCCCAGATGGTGCAGGGGCTGGGCAGAGGTGCTCCTCCCTTACAAACAGTGAGGGGGCCGGGCAGAGGTGTTCCTCACTTTCCAGACAGGGTGGCGGCTGGGCAGAAGCACTCCTCACTTCCCAGATGGGACGGTGGCCAGGCAGAGGCGCTCCTCATTTCCCAGACGGTGAGGAGGCCGGGCAGAGGCACTCCTCACTTTGCAGACAGGACGGCGGTGAGGCAGAGGCGCTCCTTACTTTCCAAACAGGGCGGCAGCTGGGCAGAGGCGCTCCTCACTTCCCATACTGTGAGGCGGCCGGGCAGAGTTGCTTGTCACTTCCCAGATGGGGTGGAGGCTGGGCAGAGGCAGTGCTCCTCCTCAATTCCCAGATGGTGGGCAGCTGGGCAGAGGTGCTTCTCACTTCCCAGACAGGGCACTGGCCAGGCAGAAGCGCTCCTCACTTCCCAGAGTGTAAGGGGGCCGGGCAGAGGCACTCCTCACTGCCCAGACGGGGCAGGGCCTGGGTAGAGGCGCTTCTCACTTCCCAGACTGTGAGGCGGTTGGGCAGAGGCACTCGTCACTTCCCAGACAGGGCGGGGGCCGGGCAGAGGCGCTCTTCACTGCCCAGACGGTGGGGCAGCTGGGCAGAGGTGCTCCTCACTTCCCAGACGGTGGAGCAGGTGGGCAGAGGCGCTCCTCACTTCCCAGATGGTGCAGGCAGAGATGCTCCTCAGGTCTTAATCTCTTGACCTCCTGATCCATCCGCCTGGGCCTCCCAAAGTGCTGGATTACAGGCGTGAGCCACCACGCCTGCCCTGCCATCTCTTCTTTCTCCTCCTAAGCAGCTGTCTTAGTCTCCTGAATTTTGATGTTCTACTTAACACTCTCACGTTCTTACGCATGTTGCCCTGCTGGAGGCGTCCTTCTCTTTGGGAAGCCTTACCCACCAACAGTGCCTCAGGAGATAGACATGGAAGCTTAGCTGGTGGGGGCCCCTCGTCTCTATCCCACCTCAGTTGCAGGGGAGGGGTCTGTTGCAGCTGCAGCGGTGGCCCCGACAGTTTTCTTTTGCGGGGCCTGTGGCCGGCAGCTCTGGGTGGAGAAGACCTACTTGATCTAAGAGCTGCAGGATCCTTGGGCTGCATGTCCTCCCCCACCATCAGCAAGCCTGGAGAGCTAGGCAGGTGGTCTTTACCCAGCACCTTCAAGGCTGCCTTCTCTGGCCACAGGGAGCAGTCCGGAACAGGGGCAGGGAGCACTGCTGGAAGTGGGTCAGGCTTCCCAAAGGGAAGGATGCCTCCAGCAGGGCTGTGTGAACTGGTGACTCCATGGCCCTTGGAGTAGAAACTCACTGCATGCACCTGGGCCTTGTCAGTCTGGTTCTTTTCTGTCAAGCTCTTGAGGTGGACATTTCCCTCCAAGGGCCTGGGATTGTACCAGGAGGAAGTGAGGTTTCCCTGAGTCTCCAGGGGCCTAGAGGTGGAGGCTGCTTTCCCATTGCTACAGGGGCCCGTTTTATTGTCCTCCTGCCCCTGGGTCTCTACCTGGTCTTTCACCTCCGTTGCTTCTTTGGGCTCTTCTGCCCTCACCTCCATCTTCGGGAGCCTGGTTGGGATCACCTGCTCATCTAATGAAGGAAGTTGAAGGTTAAACTTGCCTCTGAGACGAGGGTTCCTCACGGGGCTGAGGTGTCCAAACATCATGGAGTTACGAGCAGATAGCACGGGTTTCTTCCTTGAGGGGGCGCTCCAGACTACAGGAGGCAGGACTCTGTGGGGTGTCCGTGTTCCAAGGGATAAGACACAGCCTCATAAGGGCGCCGTCCCAGCTGACTGGAAAAGAAGGCCCAAGATGTCGCTGACGGTTGAAGAGGAGTGGGGAATGGCCCCAGATGCCCCGGGCAGGCACGGGTGCAGGAGCCGCGGGGTGAGCCCGGCCAGCTGGGAAGGCCTCACGGACAAGACGAGCAGGTTGCCGATGGCGTGGCCAGGACCTGCGGCGGAACCAGGAACAAAATACGCTTAATGAGTTGCCCATTTTGAGCGAGTTGTGCACAGACGAAACTAAGGGTCAGAAGTGGAGAGGATACTCCTAAGTCACCCACTTCTCTGTGGCCGGGTGCACACTGGGCATCTGGGAGTTTATGACATCACTATGGGGCTGATGACAGAGCCAGGGTGTGGAGGAGTGCTAAGGAGCCCAGCGAGGGTGCCTACAAGAGGAGTCAAAGGGCAAAGGGTGAGACCCTTCCACCGCTCCAGCTGGACTCTAGCCTCAGGGACGTCCTGCTCCTGGGGGCAGGTGTGTGGCCCTGGATGGGCCCCCCTGTGGGGCTATTAGGGGTGCGGGGCTGATCCGCCAGAGCCCTTCCACCTGGCGCCTGGCCCAGGTGCTGGCTGGCACCCAGTGGCCCTGTCTTGGCCGGCCCTGTCCCCTGGGTTACAGGGCCAGAACCTGGAAGCAGAGCGCAGGACCAGCCAGATCCCGCCAGGCTCCCCCGGGGCCTCTCCAGTGCCTCTGTGCTGCCTGGAGCCAGGCCTGCCTTCTCCATGGCTGCCGTGGCCTCAAGGGCCACCAGCCTCGCTCCGCAGGTTTCCAAAGAGAGGACGCGGTGCCCTGACCTGACTGGATGCGCCTCTTACCACATGCCGCCCTGGCAGGAAGGGTCTCTACTTTTTACAAATTTGCCTGAGACCATTCCTCAGGTCATTCAGGTGGTCATGGCCCAGCCAGGCTTTGAACCCAGGCTGTGCAATTCCACAGTTGGCGCTCTGGCCTGTGTGCCTCATGATCATGGATAAAGCATCAATTCTTATTTTTTCCTGTAGTCCTGGGGTACTTAGCACCGTGGCATATCTGTAATAAGCACATGCACACCTCGAATGAGGTCTTCACTTCAACATGCAAGTTGACCATGGCATACTCTGGGCTCCAGTCCTCTACAAAGATGTAGGGTAGGGACTACCAGTTGTCAGCACAGCACCATCCCACATTGCTCTTCTAATGGAGCCTTTCACCCCAGATGTTCTTTGTCGTCTGATGTGAAGGATCCAAGTATGTAAAGATTATGTCCTAGATCAGCTTTGGTCTGTCCTAAAAGAAATTGGCCAGTGGATTATTCCATATGGATAAAAGTCAGTTTCTCTAGTTTTCCTGGAATGTGTCTAGAAAGCAAATACATTATTTACAAGTTCATAGTAGATCAATGTATTGGATTAAAATATGACAAACATAATTTGGTCATTGTGAGCATGCCAGCTCGGTCAACTATTCACCACACATGATGCCCTAAATATAACTCTAGGTTTTCTTATGCCCAAGAAAGGGACATACTCTTGGGTGTCTGGACTAGGGAAACATGTATGAAAAACCATTTGGCCACTCTACATCTTGTTACTGGAGAATTGAAACCATCTATATTCAAAGATAATATTAAAAGGCAAGAAGTTAAAAAAAAAAAATCAGAGTGTCTGTGACACAATAGTGATCAAGGTTTAGAAAGCAAGTTATAGCTTGATAAATTATAGGATGGGCAAAACTTGAATTGTGCTAAATTTTAAGGATGGAAATGACAACATATAGACAAATTGAGAGAGTGCAAAAACCAAATAAGACCCAGACAGGAAGTATAGAGGTAGCAAAAAAATGGAATAACAACTGGGGTTTTAAGAGATCTTTATTAAATGTCAAATTTACTTGGCATCATCAATAAATGTCTCAAAAGACATGAGACATTTCAGTGTTCTTAAATAGTATACAACAAGCTCAAAGATGAACTTATTAAAAATATGAATGAATCTCTTAAAAATAGGGAAACAAGCTGTCTAAGTGAACCCACTTTTTAGGGGGAAGCAGAGACTCTGTGCAGTGTTTTACTTATGTATGAAAGATGTGTAATCACCACTTAAGGATCAAGAGTACTTAGATTTTCATATGGCCTGTAATGACCAGCTACTTTCATTCTCTTTTCTGATATTTTCTTCACTGACTTCTAGTTAGCAGATGTACCTTCCAACTTTCCTAGTACCTCGAAAGTTTTCTCTTTCTGAATTAAGTGCTGAAACCACAGTTGCCTAGATTTACACTGCCAAGCCAGTTCTCCATTGATGAGAGCATGTAACTCCCATTATAGCTCATGGGGACTCCATAAGTACTTCAAAGCAAAGAATAGACTCCCAAATGAGTGTTTGTCTTTCACCCTGATCCATTGAATGTCCTACTTAAGAGTAATGTAAGGAACAAATTTTCTTTTTCCATGTTCCTCTTAAAGATCCACATCTTTTATTTTTACCTTGATATTCTCTAAGTGAGATATTATTGAGATCTTGAGGGGAGGAAGATTCCTGTCTGATTAGCAAGAGAGCAGGGAATATGGCTTTAAATTTCTTTTAACATCTTTCTCTCAAATTGATAAGTATTTATGCAGCTTCTGTCTCTGGAGGGTAACCCTCAACATCAATCCTCAGCATCCCTATAATATTTGCAGTGCACAAGTGGTGTCAGAGTGTTAGCGACTGGAAATCTGTTACTATGGTTACCACCTATAGAAAGGTCACCTTCAGGAAATTTTTCTCTGTGTGCAAGATAATACTGGGATAATGAAACTTCCTTTGGAGAGGATAAAGAACAGAGTTTGTTATGCAGGCCTATAATTACCTAGGTGGTTTTGGAAATCTGTATATTATAATCAGTGCTCTGTATTTCAATAAAAAGAACTACATCAATCAGATATTATCTAAGATAGAATTCCAGAATAATACCAGCAATAATGTTCTGATAGGGAGAGCAAGCTGTGATAAAGTGGGGGAGGTAGTTTGCTTCTTCAGTGCTAAGTTTTTTTTTTTTTATTATTGGAAATTGCTTGGATGTTTTAAGGCAACTAAGAGACAAGAAAGATTAGGCTGCTTTTAACTACTAAAAAGAGTATTTAGCTGCAATGTGCAATAGGTTCTCAGTCAGACATGACTGAAGTCTCTCAAGTATTAGTGAAACTAACTTCTAAAATCTGGGAACTTTTTAAGTTTCTAGCCTATCAACTACCTGCATATTCTCTAATCTCTCTGTTATTTGAGATTTAATCTAATATTTCTCACCCTACTACACTGGTCAGCGAGCTTCGTTATCACTTTTTGACTTCTTCATAGCATTCCCATCGGATTTGCATTTGGGTGCAATTAAAAACTGGCTATGATCCAGTTTGGAATCCATGATGAGTTCATGAACCGAAGGGAGAATTGAGCCCCCTGTGTGTAGACTCAGAACATCTCAGTTGAATCCTGGCCCTTGACCTCTTGCTGGGGCTATGCTCTGTCATTGTGAAGAACATGTGCCTTTTCTGTTTGCAAACTACAGTTAAATAAGCATAAAAATCACTTTGGGGAGCTAGTGTTCTTTTAAAGCAATCTTGGGTTGTCAAATATGAAAGATTTTATATTTGTAGGCAAATTCCTTTTTTGAGTTTTAGGTACATTCTACTCTTGCCCGGAAAGTAATATATACTTTGACCATTTCTTAAAATGAGAGACTAACAACTGAAGGCAAAACTATGCACTCCAATCATTGGGCAGTGTTTTATGTACCATGTTAATCCCTGGAATACAGGGAGCATGGATATTATTTTACTGCTTTGTGACTCTAGAATTTCAAGAAGGGCCTTTCTGCTCAGAATCAGTTCAAAGTTTAGTTTTTTAAAAATTTTCTACTTCCCATACCTGTAGGGATTCCACCAAAGAATATTTCTTATAACCTGAAGACAGGCTAAATCCTGGAGGGTGATGTAATATATGGGGAGAAACATATTTACAAAGGCCTGCCAAGAGCTGTCTTTTTGCTCATGTGCTTGGAGAACAGTGAAATGATAGGATGAGAGGAAGAGCTCTCAGAGGAGGAACTTTAAGTTACATATCTTTAGAAGTAGAATCTAATGTTTGGGTGGCCATTGTTTTATTTCATTTTTATATATCAGTGTGGGAATACAGCTGGAGAGATGGGTATTTATACGTCCTTAGTGCTAGTCTGAAAGGGCTTTTCAGTTCCTAATATACACATCACGGTCCTTTCCTTTTTGTTCTTTCCTCATCATCATGGAGTCTTTTTATTTAGAGGTCACTAACTACTCATGTTAATCATTTAGAACCACTTGGAAAATAACTGAGAATCCATAAATAAGATTTTTTTTTAGGTATGGAAATAATGGGTATTGTAAATCCCAGGCACTACAGTAAACCTTTCAAATTCTTGCATGTTCTCTGATCTCTGTTTTCTCAAAAGCCAAGGGCCTCGTTTTAGATCAGAAGCAGACAATTTCAAGGCATGGATTAATAACTGCTAAAACAAATAGGAAAGCAGGAGCTAGTAAAATCTGATCTCTGAGTAGTGAGGGAATAAAACAAAGTTATAAAAAATACAAAGAGTCATATACTGGAGCAATCTGAGGCCGTTTAGTATGGAAATAAAGAATTTGAAACAGTGCCTCACCTTTGAGGGCATTACTATTCACTGCTTGGTATAACTGACATGGAAACTGATAATTTTATAATGATAATTTAGAATTAAATAATTTATCACATTTTTTCTGTGTAAAATATACCACGTTACTTATGTTTACTAGGTTCTAGATAAAATGTAAACGGAAATATGTATAATTTATTTTAAAATTCAATTAAAAGTATAGTTCAAAAGTATATTTTATTTCACATAGAAATAAACCTTATTTATCTGAAAATATTTGATTACATGGATTATTTACCCATTTTTGCTTGGTACATGAGTTTCTTGCCCTAAAATATAAGAAAGTATTGGTGAAGAACTAATTTTTAAAGCATATGTGCTACTATCAGCTCTCTTTCCCTCTAGACACTAAATAATAAAATCTATTTTTCTATATTTCCCATGATTTTAGGTTCATTGTAATCATGACACCTAGAATACTGTCTGTGAAACACCAATAGGGGTGAAATAGGACCAGGCACATAGTCTGTTCCTTTCCTATGTGTCTTCTTGTCACCCTTACCTGTTGAGAGCAGTGTCCTTGCCATGAGATTCTTGTAGAAAACAGTAAAGTCCATCTCTGTCTTACTAGGTGTGTGTGTATTGCTGAACACGAGGACCTGAGATCAGTGGCCAATGCTGTCACCAACAACTTGGACGAAAAAAAAATCCTCCCAGTCTGCTGCTCCCCTGGGCTTCAGAGTTCCACATGGCCAAACTTGGAAACTTCTAGACTCACCATAACTCAGATTTTCACCTGACTCTACAACTGTTAATATGTTCCTAAATGTTGCTGCCGATCTGACTCACATGTTTAGTGATTAGATGGGCCTCAGTTGCATTAGGTCACAGTGACTGTCCCAATCCCTATCTTATCTAATTGGTGTTGTCTTTTGAGTGGCAGGGAGGAGACAGATAACTATTCATACTATTCCATCAGAACTTCTCACATGCTAAAAACAGCAAGAATAGAAACAATATACAACAAATATAAAAAATTCAAAGGCAAAAGGAAGACAAAAATCCTATTCACTTTTAAGAAGTCCTCAACAATTACCCAAGCCACTCTGTTTCTGATACTAATCATTTTATGCATGTTATTTCATTTAATACTTTTACATCCATGTGAATTAAGTGTTGTTATTGTTACCCTCATCCTGTTAGATGATCCTGAAGCTTTTTGAAGAAAGGTTAGGGAACTTGGCCGAGGTTGCAACTAAATGGTAAAACCAGGATTGCAACTGATGTTTGCCTGACCCTACATTGCTTTCTCTTTCTATATATATATTTTATATATATATATATTTTATATATATATATATTTTATATATATTTTATATATATTTATTTTATATATATTTTATATATATTATATATATTTTATATATATATATACACACACACAAACATAGCATATTTAGTATATATCATATAATGTATAATATACTTAAATAATTAATATACTATACATAGTATAGTGTAGTATAGAAATATATAGGTAAAATACATATTAATATATAAGTATACATAGAGTATATTGCTTATTTGTATATTTTCTCCTGTAATACATTGTAAGTTCTTTGAAGATAAGAACTATGTAATTTATTTTTCTATATTCTCTATTTTTGCTGAGTAAATTATTGAGAGGAACATGCTAATTACACTTTGCTATTTTGATTTTTCACAAAATGCAGTGGTTAAATCAATGTGTTTTGGAATCATACAAAGGAGAGTTTCAGTGAAATTTCTGGCATTTAATAACCCTGTGTCCTTGGAAAACATATTTAACCTGAGACAGAGTTTTTTCAAGTTGATACTACTTACCTTACAGACTTTAGAAAATAACATACATAAAACTTGCACAATGCCTGGCACATAGCTGGGAGTCATTGGTTAGTGATAATTATAACTGTGCTTATGATACTTCAGAGTGTCATAAATGCATGTAATTGTGAAATTTTTCTGAGTTTTATTAATGGTGTATATATGACTGTAAAGGTATAGCAAGTTTATTGTAGAAAAATATAGAAAAACATAAAACACAAAATCAGGTATAAGGAAGGGGTCCAGTTTCTGTTTTCTGCATATGGCTAGACAGTTTTCCCAGCACCATTTATTACATAGGGAGTCATTTCCCTATTGCTTGTTTTTGTCAGATTTGTCAAAAATCAGACAGTTGTAAGATGTGTGGTGTTATTTCTGAGGTCTCTGTTATGTTCCATTGGTCTATATATCTGTTTTGGTACCAGTACCATGCTGTTTGGGTTACTGTAGCCTTGTAGTATAGTTTGAAGTCAGGTAGGGTGATGCCTCCAGCTTTGTTCTTTTTGCTTAGGATTGTCTTGGCTATAGGGGCTCTTTTTTGGTTCCATGTGAAATTTAAAGTAGTTATTTCTAATTCTGCAAAGAAAGTCAATGGTGTCTTGATGGGAATAGCATTGAATCTATAAATTATGTTGGGCAGTATGGCCATTTTCACAGTATTGATTCTTGCTATCCATGAGCATGGAATGTTTTTCCGTTTGTGTCCTCTCTTATTTCCTTGAGCAGTGGCTTGTAGTTCTCCTTGAAGTGGTCCTTCATATCCCTTGTAAGTTGTATTCCTAAGTATTTTATTCTCTTTGTGGCAATTGTGAATGGGAGTTCACTCTTGTTTTGGCTCTCTGCTTGTCTATTATTGGTGTATAGGAATGCTTGTGATTTTTGCACATTGATTTTGTATCCAGAAACTTTGCTGAAGTTTATCAGCTTAAGGAGATTTTGGGCTGAGACAATGGGGTTTTCTAAATATACAATCATGTCATCTGCAAACAGACAATTTGACTTCCTCTCTTTCTATTTGAATACCTTTATTTCTTTCTCTTGCATAATTGCCCTGGCCAGACCTTCCAATACTAGGTTGAATAGGAGTGGCGAGAAATGGATTAAAGATTTAAATGTAAAACCTAAAACCATAAAAACCCTAGAAGAACATCTAGGAAATATTCAGGACATAGGCATGGGCAAAGACTTCATGACTAAAACACCAAAAGCAATTGCAGCAGAAGCCAAATTTGACAAATGGGATCTAATTAAACAAAAGAGCTTCTGCAAAGCAAAAGAAACTATCATCAGAGTGAACAAGCAACCTGCAGAATGGGAAAAAAAATTTGCAATGTATCCATCTGACAGATTAGTTTCTGGTATAATAACCAGTATCTACAAGGAACTCAAACAAATTTACAAGAAAAAAAAAAACCCTATCAGAAAGTAGGCAAAGGATATGAACAGACATTTCTCAAAAGACATTTATGTGGCCAAGAAACATGTGAGAAAAAGCTCATCATCGCTGGTCATTATAGACATGCAAAGCAAAACCACAATGAGATACCATCTCACTCCAGTTAGAATGGAAATTATTAAAAAGTCAGGAGACAACAGATGCTGGTGAGGCTGTGGAGAAATAGGAATGCTTTTACACTGTTGGGAGTGTAAATTAGTTCACCCATTGTGGAAGACAGTGTGGCAATTCCTCAAGGATCTAGAACCAGAAATACCATTTGACCCAGCAATCCTGTTACTGGGTATATACCCAAAGGATTGTAAATCATTGTACTATAAAGACACCTGAACACATATGTTTATTACAGCACCATTTACAATAGCAAAGACTTGGAACCGACCCAAATGCCCATCAATGATAGACTGGATAAAGAAAATGTGGCACATATATATCATGGAATACTAAGCAGCCATAAAAAAGAATGAGTTTATGTCCTCTGTAGGGATATGGATGAAGCTGGAAGCCGTCATTCTCAGCAAACTAATATAGGAACAGAAAACCAAACACCAGATATTCTCACTCATGAGCAGGAGTTGAACAATAAGAACACATGGGAACATGGAGAGGAACATCACATATGGGGTCCTGTCAGGGGATGGGGGCAAGGGGAGGGATAGCATTAGGACAAATAACTGGTGCATGTGGGGCTTAAAACCTAGATGACGGATTGATAGATGCAGGAAACCACCATGGCACATATATGCCTATGTAACAAACTTGCACATTCTACACATGTATCCCAGAACTTAAAGTTAAAAAAGTGCAAAATCTGCCACAATTTCATAACCCAGGGATAACCAGGTAACATTTGCTACCATGTTTATAGTTCCTTCACACTTGTGCCAACACACATGAACATCTTTCTATAATTATGCATAGTTATAATGGCATTATAAATACAGTTTTGGTTTGCCTTTTCTCTTACTATTATATCATGTACATTAATACTATAATTTTCAAGGACATAAGTTTTAATCACTAGATAATTGAACAACTGGATTTAATCTTTTTTTTTTTTGAATGTTGATAATTTAGTTTCCAGATTTATTTATTTGCTTTTTGGTTTTGCTATTTATTACCAGCAACTTTGCTATCAATGACCTTATGTGTATATTTTTGGCCACATATGATTATTTCTTTAGATTTTAGAGGTAGTTTAAATCAGAGTGCATGACGTATATTTAACGTTCTTGGTTTATAGCAATTAATACTTCTACAATTTGTATTTAGAGGATAAAAAATACTTTCTTATTTTGTGCTTTACGAGGTACTTTGATAGCTATTTTATTATCACAAAAGACTTTCAAAAAGTGTTGGAAATATTTTTATTCAAGCTACAGATTGAAGAGATTTAAAAAATAATAAAAAAATTCCTAAAGTTGTGTCTTGTCCAAAATGGCAGAGACAAAACTGGGACCAAGTTTCCCACACTTCTATAATCACTAGAGAAGCATTGAGGTTTTCCACAAATCTTCAGTGACTGAAGTTCCACTGTAGGAAAATCTTATTTCACATGGAACTTTAACAATGGCACCATGGCCCTGGGTTCGCTGTCAAATAACAGCAAAGGGAAGCAAGCCTGAATGGGACTTGACCTTTTTTTTTTTTCTTTTTTTTTTTTTTACATCAGTGATTCTAGAAGTAACCAAGTCTGGAGACCACTTCTTGTTTAAGTTCACACACAATATCTTTTCAACTTCTTTATACATGTTTATCAATAAGAACGATCTTTACAGCACATTTTCATCTCTTTAGTGATATTTAGAGTCTGCACTTACACTGTAAAGATTTTACAGTCCTTTTAAATACTTGCTGACTATCTGGATATTAAAACCTGTATTAGAGAACTGTGTCATGAAGAAAACACATCAACATACATGGTTTGTACTTTTATTAAAAATTGCTTTTGTGGTTACTAAAAGAAGAACTCTCCCTATGATTTTATCTGCCATGTAATATTAAATAATTTCGGGCCGGGCGCGGTGGCTTACGCCTGTAATCCCAGCACTTTGGGAGGCCGAGGCGGGCGGATCACGAGGTCAGGAGATCGAGACCATCCCGGCTAAAACGGTGAAACCCCGTCTCTACTAAAAATACAAAAAATTAGCCGGGCGTAGTGGCGGGCGCCTGTAGTCCCAGCTACTTGGGAGGCTGAGGCAGGAGAATGGCGTGAACCCGGGAGGCGGAGCTTGCAGTGAGCCGAGATCCCGCCACTGCACTCCAGCCTGGGCGACAGAGCGAGACTCCGTCTCAAAAAAAAAAAAAAAAAAAAAAAAAAAAAAAAATAATAATAATTTCAGCTTCCTTGGCACACTAATGAAGCAAAACTTCTCATAGGAAGACAATTACAGCAAATTTCTTTATATATGATATAAATTTTTTGTTTCATTTTTGGTGCAGAAGAAACATTTTTATGCTGAGAGAAAGGTTACTTTAGGGATCATTGACATGATGTTAATTTTTCAGAGGCCTAAAGACATCAGGGTTGTAGGCAGCTAAATACTACATTGCCCATGTTGATTCAGAGCAAAAACAAAAAAGAATAAAGGAATGGTTCAGTTCATGCTTACATCTTTAAAAACAAGTGTTTGGATGGCATGTACAGACTGCAGATGGAATGTTCTAGAATGCATGTAAATGAAACACATTTTCTAACAATTCATCAAAAACTCTCACGGAAAAAGGACTGGGTAAGATTCATGAGCACTGGGTTCTTTTCTGACCACTGACTACCTTAGTAACCATGGGCAAGTTTTCTATTTTTATGGCCTCATTTTTCTCTTTAGTAATAAAGTAAGGATCATTTAGATTGCCCTGAAAATGCATTCCTAGTCTAAAAATGTATAGTTAAAATATAACTCTAAGTATTTGTTAAAAAAAAAAAAAGTACAGTTGACACAACTAAAATAGCACCAAAGTATCTTCAAAGGTTCACTTAAAGACACTGCTGTGGGGGGAAAAAAAACAAAAACGAAAAAACTAAAATGTTGTACTTAGGAGATATCAGTGTGAGAGGCAGGAGGTAAGCCCAGCACTGTTCTAAAGGTTACAGCTTTTGGGGTCAGATAGATCTGAGATTCTTTTGTCCTGACTTAGTGGTTTTGCTGGATGTGTGACTCTGGGAAACTTAATTTTTCTAAGCTTTAGTGAAAAATAATGATCATGCATATCTCCTAGTGTAGTGAGGGACCAATTAAGACACATAAATTGGAAATAAAACCTAGGGACAATCCTTTCTCCTGTGTTAATAAGTATTAAGAGTTCTAAATGCTTCCTTTTATTATGTAGATCACATTTGTTTCTGTGAAATGGTTACTTTAATTTTTTTCCAGGCAGATATGGCCATACTGTTGAGAATTCTGGCAGCGGTGCTTCCTTCTGATTCCTTTCAGGACATCCTTGTGTGTGTCACATAGACAAGTATTAAGCGTGTGTTGCAAGCAAGATGTCAGAGTAATTGTTATTGATGGATGGCACATATAGTTAGGATTCATATAATAAGAACTATTGTCTCTATAATATTCTAGACAAGCCCAGCAAGTCTAAGTACAACTGGTTGAATGACAACATTCAGAATTGCTTTTTCCCTTTGAAAAACGAACATAATAGTATTTTCAGAAGACAGCCATTGAGTAAACAACATATTTGTCTCTCTTGAAAATATGAGGTTGACAACTGTGAAGGCTGCCATCATATGTTTATCACCAGAGTGTCTAGGGTTTGATAAGAATGAGCATAAATATTGTTTTACTAATATACTTTCCACTAAAATGGCCAATGACTAAAGGTCTGAAAGATTTTTATTTTTGGAAAAAATATCCTTTTTTTTTTTCTTAGAATATACAGTTTGTATAAAGATTAGTGGCTTTGTGGACTGTTTGAGACAACTATTTAATTTTAAGAGAAGCTTTTGACATGTATCTAACTAAAATACCATTGCTCCCATTCTTAGAATGCTTATCTTGGCCAAGAAGTCCTAAGTGAGTTCCATTTCTCATGGGACATTTGAATTTCACTTTTAAATTTCAAATCTAAGAACAAATATGTTGATAGTTTTGTGCATTGGTATTGCCATTATCTTCTTGTTTTAATTCTAATCCAGAAATCTCCAGAGAATTTCCTAAACTGATACTAAGAATTCAAATAATATATGCAAAAGTATGTGAAGTCCTGTATTTGAAAAGTTATAATCAATGCCTCCACTGAATCTACACTCAGCCAGAGACTTCACAGCAGTGAATTTCAGTTTTGAATCATAAATTGAGAATTTTTTTTTTAGGTTTCCTATTTATCATGTTGCCAGATTAAAATTTATTTACACTTTCATCTCTTATTTATATTTATTCCTCTCTATATAACTTTATAACTGTCTGGTTTTACTCATCTTTAGTTTTTTATTGTTTTAGTATTTCCTTGATCCTTTTTTTTTTCTTAAAAAAAAACCTTTTCTTTGATTTTGTTTTCAGTATTTTGGAATGTCTACATGCTATTTCTGAAAACCTCCTTTAATCTACATTTTTCTCATTGCCAGTCAAGAATAAAAAAAAAATACACTTTTGAATCATCACTTTTAAGACAAGAAATTCAGCATGTGTTTCTTAACCCTCTCCATTCCTACTGTTTGGTTTTATTTATAATCTGTATTTTCAAATTCAGATTATTAATTTTAGGTTAAATATTTTCTTTATTTTTTTCCCTTTGAAAAATCATTTCTAACATTTTCATTCCATTTAGTCACGAGATGAAAATAGTCATTTTGATTTAATGTTTAATGAGCTTTAGTGTTGGCTGTCCTTTCATATTCTAACTTCTCCTTCTTGAATGCATTTGTCATCTTCATTACAAGATCAAAGTACTTATCCAGTTACAAAAGTTTCCATAGTAGAGTATTTCCTGAATCTTGAAAATATCTGCCTTTGTCTTTTTATATTCTCTAGATGTACAGTTTATTAGTCTCAACCCTTCCTTTGATAACTCTATAGATATTGTTCCAACATATGTAGACACTTTTATTTGCTTGGCTGCTTGTAGTATTTTTTTTATATCCATGTAATTTCAAACATGCATCTGTTTATTTGGAGTGAGAATTTCCTGTCTGTATAATCCCTGGCTTTCTGATATAAAGAAGCTTCTTACAAAGAGTCTCATGGGATATAAAGAGCCTTTTTTACCTCATTACAGATGCTTTTCTGAAGAACCATGTAGCTAGGCCTTGTGACTTACATTGGGTAGGTTACTTTCTATCTAACTTTGTTTTTGCCATCGCCAATGTTTATTAGTCTGCACTTTCAGTTATGTTATAGATTCTCTTGTCTTTAGTGTATTTTCATAAGCATTCTGGTGGGATATTGGGAGAGGCCATATTAGTGGGTAAGAGGAGGGTGTAATGTTTTAAATCTGAAGCCTATCAGTAATGAATATGAGTGACCTGTAAAGAGAAGGGCTACCAGGATTAAACAAATAAAAATTGTTGCATTTTATCTCAAGCCATGTCATATTTTCAAATAGACGATTTCATGTTTATCAAAGTTTAGAATAACTATAGCCTAAGTGGTATACTGAGCCACACAAACTTCAAAAGAATGCAATTGTGAAATTGGTTTCTCCCTCTACTCTGCATGCACCTTGAGTATCACCACATGGAGACCCTGCCTCTATTCACCATTACCTGAGCAAATGGCTCTCACATCCTCCTAGACGCATTATTCCATAACGGTGGGATATTTCTACCAGGTTCCGATCATCTGTTAGGACCCATTAAACAGTTAAAAACAATTCTACTTCCTATTGATCTCAAAATGGACAATAATATTTTACTTTTTGTTATAATAAACTTTCTTAAAAGATTAAAAACTTTCAAAGCAAAACAATCTTTTTTTCCCCCTCTAACTGGAGAATAAATAGGCAAATATCTATACTATCATCAATGAGGGAGAAACTTCTTTAACACTGATGACAAAAAATAAATTGGCAAAACAATTAATTTTACATAAAATTTGTGCTCTTATTTTTATGGTTAGCCTTGACTTTTAGGATTGGCCCTTCTGGACTCTCAGCCCAAAGCCTGGGAGTTTATAAAAATCTCTCCTGGCTGCCTGAGTCTAAAATCCAACTTTGTTTCTTTCTTCTTTTTTTTTTTTTTTTTTTTTTAAATGTGTGATGGAGTCTCGCTCTGTTGCTGCCTGGAGTGCAGTGACACAATCTCGGCTCACCGCAACCTCTGCCTCTCGAATTCAAGGGATTCTCCTGCCTCAGCCTTCCGAGTAGCTGGCACTACAGGTGTGCGCCACCATGCCTAGTTAATATTTGTATGTTGAGTGGAGACGGGGTTTCACCATTTTGGCTAGGATGGTCTTGATCTCTTGACCTCGTGATCCACCCGCCTCGGCCTCCCAAAGTGCTGGGATTACAGGCGTGTGAGCCACCGCGCCTGGCCTAAAATCTAACTTTCTGCAGGCACTAGGTGCCATCTTACATCTCTGCTTAGCTCTCCAAGCCCCAGGCTATTCGCTGCTGGTCCTTTTAAAGTCCTGTCCCACTCATGCGCAGCTTAGATGGTGGTCGAAGACCCAAAGGGAAATCTTTTGGCCTATATTAGAGGGTCCTTTTCTCCCGTTCTTTCTTCTTTAATACCTATCCTTCAAATCTCAGCTGCATAGCAGCCCCTAACTCTGATCTACGCTTCTTTCACTGAAGGAGTATGTCTTTCTTTGCCCTCAGGGAGAAAGTTGGGTGAAAGAGATTTGGGAATCGCCCTTTCTTAAAGATCACAGACCTGCCAAACTCATGCAGACTTTTGGGAACATCACACACCGGGGCCTGTTGTGGGGTGGGGGGAGAGGGGAGGGATAGCGTTAGGAGATACACCTAATGTGAATGACTAGTTAATGGGTTCAGCACACCAACATGGCACATTTATACATATATAACAAACCTGCATGTTGTGCACATGTACCCTAGAACTTAAAGTATAATAAAAAAGAAAAAATACATATATTGTCCAGTTTCTACAGGAGGTGTTTTGGGCAGTATTTAAGATCTATATTAGTTATTTCTGAAAGACATTTTTTGAACATAGGCTAACGATGTTACTACAAACCTGCCAATCATTTTTTCATCATTTTCTTATATTGTTTTGGTGTATCGCCTTCATGACCCACACTATCTGAAATTCTCATTTATTTCTTTTCTTCCTTTGTTCCTTTATTCATAGTCTGTCTTCCTCACTAGAATGTAAGCTTTATGAGCTCCATCTCCATGAACTCTGAGCTCTTACCTGCATTGTTAAAGATGTAGTTCTAGTTGGTAAAAGAATGCCTGGCAGGTAGCAGGCATTTAAAAAATATCTGTTGACTGAATGATTGCTAATTATTTGATTTTGCCTACTAAAGTACTATCCAACATTGCATACATAACATTTGAGTTCCAAACTGGATAAATAGCTAACTTCAAGATCTGTCATGTACATATATTAAAACAAAGCAAGGAAATGTTTTATTTTTTCCCAGTCCACATAAAGCTTAGCATTATATCTGAGATTAATTTTTTGAAATAAAATTTATATTTTTATATCTTAAATTGTATAATTTTTATATTATACAATTTATAGTATGTTTTTACTCCTTCTAACTTGAAGCTCACAGAGCTAGTTTGTATTGACTTTACAATGAAATATGTCTTTAACTTTTTAATAGTTTGTATTTTATTTTTTCTTACTCATCCCAGATTTGAAGAGACATGAAAGTAGCTTTATGAGAACCACTTGGAGATTGATTGTCAGGACTGTTTTGTGCTGTGTTTTTTGTATCTCCATGTGTGTGGAAACATTTCTAAATGAAACCCTGTGTAGGCAGTTTAGCAGAAAACAGCTCACTTCCAGGCCGAGGAAAATAACAAATAAATGATATTAAAGTCTTCTTACAATGATTTTCTTATATCAGAAGGATAAGAAAATTAAGGACCCTTTCTACTGAGACAGTGCTCCTAGATCAGGATTCAGCTGGAAATTCTAACAGGGAATATGCATCTTCTGAAATGGCAGTGGTTGATTAAGAACAAGATAGCACAGATGGGTTTGTTCTTTTTCTGGAAGAAAAATTTCCTGAAAGAGAAAGCCAATGAATAGGTTATATGGAATTGTCAACAAATGCTAGACAAGTACAAATTAATGAGAAGGAGAACAAACCTCACTTCTGGAGTAGAAATTCATTAAACAGAAGGGGGATCATGATACTGAATAAAGGACATGCTATTGGGATATCTTGTAGTAATTATACATTGTAGATTATGGATAGAATGAAAGACTTTGGCACTGGGGACCCTAAGAAAGAAAGAAGATGGCTTAAGATCTTAAACCCCCAACTCACAACAAAAATGAAGGGAAAAATAAAGCCTATGGTAACCATAAAGGAAAAGGCAGACGTGACTGAGACCTGGCCAAGGCCAGATATGAATATATATATTTAAACCATGTGCTAAGTTAAGGCACTGGTTGGGAAGAATGAGGCCCTAAAACTTGTAATGGGAACACATGGGCAAACACAGATAAGAGTGAGCATTTGAACCCTTTTCTCTATCTCGAATCTATTTATTTGCTGGTGGAAGTGGCACTTTCCATCCCTCTCTCAAACCAGCCATTCTTTATATAAAACAGTGGGGCAATTGATTTGCAAGCAAGGTGGTAGCTGTTCAGTCACCTTCATCCATCATGCTATTTTCTCTAAAATTTTGAGTTTATGTAGCTCCATGAGAATGGTATTAAAAGCTGTAATACTGGGCATAAAGATACTCATTCTGTAGCAGGACAAGCCACAGACAAAACCCCTCAGACACTGAGTTGAAGGAAGGGCTTTATTTGGCTGGGAGCTTTGGCAAGACTCACGTCTCCAAAAACCGAGCTCCCGAGTGAGCAATTCCTGTCCCTTTTAAGGGCTTACAACTCGAAGGGGGTCCCTGTGAGAGGGTTGTGATTGATTGAGCAAGCAGGAGGTACGTGACTGGGGGCTGCGTGCACTGGTAATCAGAATGGAACAGAACAGGACAGGGATTTTCACGATGCTTTTCCATACAATGTCTGAAATCTATAGATAAGATAACTGGTTTAGGTCAGGGGTCGATCTTTAACCAGGCCCAGGGCATGGCGCCGGGCTGTCTGCCTGTAGATTTCATTTCTGCCTTTTAGTTTTTACTTCTTCTTTCTTTGGAGTCAGAAATTGGGCATAAGACAATATGAGGGGTGGTCTCCTCCCTTAATACAATAGTCATTTTCTCCAGCTTCTGAAAGACCAAAAATATAAACATGAAGACAATAGTCATTGTGATTACTAGAGAAAGTGATGGCATTTGTTTAAAAAATGAAGTTTTTTTTCCCTAAAGGAAAGTTGTATAATAGTGGTCATAATTTCATCTCTGACCTCAGCAAGATATCCTATGTTCTTTCAAATTCAGTGCATTAATTTTAGTTTGGGATTCAACTTCCTCTGAAAGGCTGTGAATAACCTAAATCCAAGGGAAGTTTCCATAAGGGGAAGAGACCAACAGTTACTTGCTGATCCTGAAAATACTGCCTAATGGTCTACAATTTGGAGATGCCTTTGGTTTATTTTGTGGAATATTTCAAGAATACATGGTAGATACACAGAATTTCCTTATGAAATATTCACAAGGTATCTTGCATATTATAAGTAAATAAGTAGAAGTGAATAGATTCACAAGATGATATATGATAGTAGATATCTTTTGCAAGAAACTTTCTAGTTGATTCAGTTTATTTTTGAAGCACCTAGGGAATAATGTCTGCCCTTAGTTTAACATTAGTTTTTTTCAGATTGTACATAAGAAATAGAATTTTATCATCCAAATGTAAACAAGAAAATGTGTAGGTGCAATACATGTGCAGTGCCTTGAGTTGTTTTGAAAAGTCTTTGTAAAGCTTTTGTTTACTAAGTAAAGCACATGTTTACTAATTCCTATTTTTTTGTTTCATTTAACAAAATATTTATTGAGCCCTTTCTATATGTTCTAGAAATATTTAGAATAAAGCATAGGCTCAACCCTTAAGAACCTTCATACTAAGACAAGATGTGTGTATAAAATGTGTGGAAGTGATGTATCATGATAGAGATAAAAACTATTTATCTTATTTTTCTAAACTTTGGTAACTCTTTTACCTATTGTTGAAAGAGGCTACTACTCTTTGGATGAGAAGGACGTGAATTTCAAAACAAAAGATAGATAAATTTACATAAAATAAAAATGTGTAAATCAAGTAATAAACAGGAGGCGAAAAACTGAAACTATTTGTAGTCAAAAGGGTTTATAGCAATAATAAATATCTTTTTTAATAGCTAAGAAAATGATACAAACATCACTCAAAGATTAACAAAAGACATAAACAAAAATTTACTGATAAATTGTAGTCTAAGTCTACACAGTTAAATTTATTAATGCGCTTATGCTTGAGGTTGCAATATTTTGAATTTTTGCAATCAGAACTTGGCGATGACCTTGAACAGTAGGATATAAACAACTCCCACATGCTTAGCGTTCCAATAATGGAACGCTAGGCATAAATAGTATACAGCAGTAGAATATAACATTTTGCTTATGAAATCAAGTAATTTTTTTAATAAAATGTAGGACTCAATGCTGAGAAAGATGGGGTGAGATAATTACCTCTGGGTGAATGTGAATTCCTATAACATTTAAGAAAATATTTTAAACATCTATCGAGAGGATCCTTTTTTTTATATCTAGCAATTATACTTTTTGGCACATTCTAAGGCATTAATTATGAATATGGTCAGATTTATACATAAACATACTTAACATAGCCGTATTTGTAATAGGAAATGACCAGAGGAAACCTAAAAGTTCAAGAATAGGGGAAATGTTCATCAATTTATTGGGTTGTTAAGCAGCCATTAAGGAAGCATGTGTGTGTACTTGTGTATTTCACATAGCAAGCAAGGGATAAACCATACATAGCTGCTGCAACCTCCTTTCCGTGTCTGATTGTGCGGTCCTAGAATATGTTTATCATCTTCTTTTGCTACTTTCCTTTGTCCTTACCCAAAGACCCCAGCTAATTGGGATATTGGGATTCTTTATCTAGTTGAGTGACCCAGACTTCATTTCTGAAGAGTCTGAATCGTCAGGGAGTATGCCTTTTTTTTTTTCACTGGGAGTTGTTGTGGGGACTGTTGTGGGGATTTGTTGAAATTTTTCATTAGACATAGGAAAAATAGAAGTACTATTTTTCAAGTACTAAGTCCTTGATATAGAAGTACTAAGGGGTACCCCAGAGATGACCTTCACTTCTGTACCTAGCACTCCACTCCCCAGTGTATAGCAGCAACCCAGTTTCCCTGGTGTCAGGGTAAATCACTCCCTTCAGCAGCATAAACCACTTGCTTTCTGTCTGTAGGTTTGATTGTATGTATAGCCCAAATGAGCAGGTAGCAGCCCCGACTTTGAATCTGATGAAATTATTGCTGTCCCCTAGAGAATGCACTGCTGTGTTGGGAGAACAGACATTGAAATTAGAGTTCAAAATTTGAGGAAGAAGAATAAAAAAACTCTGTGGATGGGTTATTATGTGTAATGGTGGGAGGAGGAGTCACTCTTGCTTCCATCTTTTGATTGCTAGACCCATAAATTCCAGCAATGGTAGACATCACTCTTCTCTTAATGGGAGTGTTTGAAGAATAAGGCTATCTAGTTAGAGTGTGTGAGTACTTCTCTGCTCACAACACATTTGCCACCTTAAGCTCTACTTATGGCCATCAATGTGCTGAACAATTTGAAAAGTTTTGATAAGAATATCTTTGAATATATAACTAAAGAGAAAGCCTTCATTTTTATCAAAGATGATTTTCAACTGCTGCTCAGTTGAGAGTCATAACCTTTACCTTCATCTAGGTCAAACCCACGTCAGAACCCAGCAGATACCACATCTCTAATTAAGAAAATATTGAAAAAAGGTTCTAGTAATTTTCCCTCTACCTGTCTCAAAAATAATTACTTGTACCTGTTCTAAATTTACCTTTCCTCCATCCTCTCTTCCAAATATCCAATACTCTCTTAACATGTGAACTACCATTCAGAAGTGCTGGCATTTGGCCTAATATCTACAGAGTAGATAACCTTTGTGTCATAGGTTAGCTCCAGGTATCCATGTAATCTCTGGAATAAAGAAATATGTTTTCCTTTCAACTTCTTCTCCCTGAATATAAATATATATTTATTTTATATATATTATAATATATATATAATAATATATATATTATAATATATAATAAATATATATTATAATATATTATATACATTATTATATAATAATATATAATATATAATCTATATAATCTATAATTATATATAATATATATAATATATAATTATATATATAATTATATAATAAATACATATTATTATATATAATATATATATCTACTAAATGTAAGAAAAAATCCTACCTTCATTTCCACTCTACAGTAGAATTTCCTGATCTGGTACCTCAGGTTTTCCTCTTGTGGTTGAACTATGCTCTTAACCTAGTTCTGACATACTCTAGCAATTTCCAGGCATTCATCCAAGTTATTGGATCCAGTGCTTCATTTCTCTCCAGCTGGAATACTGCCATGAATCAACAGGTCTCTCAAAACCTGATCATAACCTGCTTAACTTCCAGCAGTGACCATAACTTAGAATTTGTTAGTGCCATCTGCATTGGCTGGGGTCAGTATTGGCCATAACTGCACTTGAGCTCAACTCATCAATGAGACACTTTATGCTGAAAATGTTTCTTCTAAAATTGGTCTTGCTCCACTAGCCTCAGGTTTATTCCCCAGGGAAAACAAAACATTGTTAACCAAAAATATTTACCTAATGTACAACTTGGTCTTGACCCATCTTTGTTTATTGTCTGTCTTGTCTCAAAATTAAAGATCTTAGCTTCTGTCATAATATCTTCCCGAGTCTTAATTTCTGGCTTTTAAAATTTCTCAACCATTTTAGGTTCTCCTTTGCCTAAATATGCCATCTGATGTCACATAATGTCTTTTTGCAACACAACCCATGAAATTATATTTTCTGGCTGATTCATAAATCAATGTTTCCCATCATTTGTAAGATACAATGTGGAGCTGCTAAAACTAATTATCTGTGAGATGATGTCTCATTTCCTACTTTAAAATTACAAAAAGATTAGCATGTTTAAGCTAGATACACTCATGGTGGATTAATTACTTGGATTGCCAACAAGAAATATTATTAATGTAATGAACAAAGAAAATTGCTTCTGTGAGGAAAAATGAAAGATACTTTGCTAAAACACCAGGATTTAGTAGAGGCAAATGATAACAGCGTTCATAGATGTTATCCTGATACAAATTTTAAAGAGTTGGACTCAATTATTATCCCATTATCCAGCTATTTTTGATAATTCTGGAAAGAGTTCATATTCAGAGATCGCTAATACATGTTAATGATGTCAGAAGATGAAGTCTACATTGAGACCCCTCCAGACATGTGTCATCACTTTCATTAGAATATTGAACAGGCTGTCAGTTATCATGGCCCATGAGGTGAGGTGCTTGTAACCTTTCCAACAGCTTAAATATTCATCATGAATTCATCCCTGTGGTCATATTCAGAAATACAAAAAGATGTAAGATGCATCAGAACCAACCCCTCTCAAGAAAATGTGTGACAATCTGACAGCATGAAAACAAATATGTCAGCAGCACAGGTGAGAATAAAGGCAAAAAAGAGCACCCTGTGTTGGAGAAAAAGAGATGGGGTCACATTCCTCTTCTCTCAAGCACACATAGAAATGAACAGGGCCTCCTTCTAGTTCAAATTCACTTTTTCATTTGAAATAGAATTGGTTTCCTTACTAATTATTAGTTACGGAAATTTTAGGAAAGTACAAAGAAAAAATTAAAATCACCTCTATTGCCACAGTTTTGAGAGTATTTTCTTTCATTTTATGTTATGAATACTTGTATTTTAAGAAGTAATTACATAAACCATATTTTCCCTGAACTTGTATTTAATATTAAATTATGAATACTTTGTTAGGTTATAAAAATCATTTGAAAACATCATTAATAATGACTGCATACTATTTTAACAAATTAATATGTGCTTCTCTGATTATTGAACACTTAATTTTTCCACACTTTCTCTTATGAATTCTGCTCTGAATTTTTTTATATAAATCTGTCTATATTCAGGTTATTTCCTTAAGATAGGTATCCAGAAGTACAATTATTGTGTATTAAAATTTTATGGGTCTTGATAAATGAGTCACTGGGTCAAGATGCAGAGGCAACCTATGAATTCGAATATGGTATTTGGAGCTGTATTTTTGCTAGAAATATTCACTAATTATGGGAGAAGAAGTTGAGAACCAGAGGGGTTGAACAGAGCTTCCACACCCTTGCAGTGATGGGGAAAGATAAGAGAAAAAAAACCTGAGAAATATAGCAGGAAAATAGTATCTAAAATATATTTGAATGAGAAACATATAAAAACTTTAGAACTGAAAGTAAAATATTGTAAATTAAAGGTACAATGGATGATAACAGCATATTAGACATAGCTGAAGATATTGTTCATGCAAAGAAAGGTAAGTTTAAGAAAATTAGTCAATATTCGATAATAGAGACAGATGAATGGAAAATACGGAAGAAAACATAAAACTAGTTGGCTCAAGGCATTTAAGATCTCTGTCCAAACATCAACTGACCACTAGGATAACCAGGAAAAGACTTCAGTGGCTGTATATAACAAAGAATGCAGATTTTATAAAATCAGTATAGATAAGTCACTAAGAAAACAAACACCACAGCTACCACTATCTCAATAAACTACCACCAAAAAACTGAGTAGAAAAGGATGCTAATTCTCAGTTTCCACATTAAATTACTTAAATGTACAGTTTTCAACAGCAAAAATGAGATGTTCAAAGAAAAAAGTGTGGTTGATAAAAAGTGGGGAAAAACAGTCAACATAAACTTTCCCTGAGGAGGCTCAGACATCGGTCTTACTAGATAAAGACTTTAAATCATTCATTGTAAATATGTTCAGAGAACAAAAGTAAACCATATCTAAAGAAATTATAAGAAGAATGTCTCAACAAATAGAAAATATCAAAGATATATGAAAAAGAACCTAATACAAATTATAGTATTAAAAAGCACAATAACTGAAATGAAAAATTCACAAGAAAGGCTCAACAGCAAATTGAACTGGCAGAAGAATGAATCAGTGAGCTCGAAGGCCTATTAATTGCAGTTATCTAGTTAGAGAAGTAAAAGAAAAGGAATTAAGAAAAATGAACAGAGCTTCAAAGGTTTATGAGAGCCCATCAAATGTATCAACATGTGTATGATGTGACTTTTAGAGAAGAGGAGAGGGGAAAATTAAAAAAAAATCTGTGCGCTCAAAAAGCTCAATGAACTCTAAGATAAACACAAAGAGATTCATACCTTAGCTCATCATAGGCAAACTGTCAAAGTCAAAGGCAAAGAGAGTATCCAAAAGAATCCAAATGAGGATTCCTTCATTTACAAGGGAGCATCAATAAGATTAACAGCAAATCATGGAATCCAGAGGTCAGTGGATCACATATTTAAATTATTGAAGGGGAAAGACTGCCAGACCAAAATTCTGTACTTAACAAAATATCCCTTATAAGACAAAGGAGAAATTAAGACATTTCCAGGTAAACAAAAACTGAGAAAATTTGTTGCTAGCAACTCACCCTACAAAAATTACTAAAAAAGAATTTTCTAGGCTAAAATGAAACAATTTTAGACAGTAATTTAAGTGCACATGTAGAAATAGAGTACTGATAAAGTTAACTACAAAGGCAAACATGAAAGGTATTTTTGCTTGCAGTTTTTTTATTCTTAAAAGACAAGTGCATAGAGCAATAATTAGGTATAATTTGTATGACAATGGTAGCACTAAGTAACAGGAAAGGAATTCAGCTATATTGGTGCAAAGGTTTTGGATAGTAAGAAATTAGGTTGATATTAATTCAAGATAGATTATTTAAAATGCTAACTGAAATCCCCAAGGATACCACTAAAAAATAACTTAATGGACATAGGAAAAGAAACAATAAGATAATTAAAATGATAGAAAATAGCATTTTAACACAAAAGATGACAGTAATGGAGGTAGAAATAGGCAAAAGCACATGAGATACATGTTAAAAATGGCAAAATGATAGACAAATCTACTTTATATACTTATTTGACACAGTATTAAAAGTTCAAGCCATGGAAATTAGGCAAAAAAAAAAAAAAGGCATTCAGTTTGGAAAGGAAAATGCAAAACTATTGTATATTCAGATTATATAAATTTGTATATAGAAAATCCCTAAAGAGTCCACAAAAATGTCTATTAGAGCTAATAAGTTCAGCAAGCGTGTAGGATACAAGATGACTATACAATAATCAATTGTATTTCTGTACACTAACAATAAAAATCTGAAAATAAAGGACACAATTACATTTATAATAGCATAAAAACAAAAATTTAGCAATAATTTTACCAGACAGGTGCAAGACTTGTACACTGAAAACTACAGTATATAATTAAAAGAAATTAAAGAATTAAGTAAAAAGATAGCCATGCTTATTGATTGGGAGACTTAACAGTGTTAAGACGGCAATACTTCCCAAACTGACCTGCAGATTGAACACATCTGTATCAAAGTTCCAGGTGTTTTTAAAAAGTTGTTATTTTTTTAAATTGACAAGCTGACATGAACAGTTACATGAAAATACAAAGGCCTGTAATAGCCAAGACAATCTTGAAAAAAAAAAATCAGAGGATTCATGCTCAATTTCAAAACGTACTACAAAGTTACAGTAATCAAAAGAGTGTGGTATTGACATAATAAGACATATAAATGAATGAAATAGAATTGAGGGTCCAAAAAACATATGCTTACAGTTATGGTCAGCTTGATTTACAAGGGTTCTAAGATAATTCACTGGGAAAAAGAATGGTTTTTCAACAATGTTAGATTAACTAGAGAGACACATACAATAGAATGATTTTGGACCCATTTCTCAGACCAGATACTGAGGTTTAACTGAAAACATATCATAGATCTAATTAAAAGACTAAAACTATAAAATTCTTAGAAAAAAATCTTAGGTGGAAATAAGTATGATCTTGCAGTTGGCATAAGTTTCTTTGATATGATACTGAAGCACAAGCAGCAAAAGAAAAAGTAGATGAATTGAATTTGATCAAGATTAAGGACTTTTTGTTTCAAAGGACACCTACCATCAAGAAAGTTGACAAGGCCGGGTGCAGTGGCTCACACCTGTAATCTCAGCTACTTGGGAGGCTGACGTAGGAGAATCGTTTGAACCCGGGAGGCCGAGGTTGCAGTGAGCCGGGATTGCACCACTGCACTCCAGCCTGGTAGAGCAAGACTCAATCTCAAAGGAAAAAAAAGTGAAAAAGACTACCCACAAAATAGATGAAAATACTTACAAATCATATATCTGATAAGGGAATATATCCAGAATACATCAAATATTCTTTCAACAATAGACAAGTAATCCCATTTAAAAATGAACAAAGGATTTGAATAGACATTTCTCCAAAGATTATATTAAAATAGACAATAAGTACATGAAAACATGTTCAACATCATTTGTCACTATAGGAATGCAAATCAAAACCACAGTGAGCTACATCTTCACATTCTCTAAGATAGCTTAAGTAAAGACAAACACAAGTGAGGATGTGGAGAAATTGGACCTTCATACATTGGTGGTGGGATTGCAAAATTGTGTAATCACGTTGGAAAACAGTTTGGTAATATCTCAAAAATTTAACAGTTATTTAACTCAGTAATTCCTTTTTTGGGGTTATACTCAAGAGAATTGAAAGCATATGTCTACATAAAAATTTGAAATAGATGTTCATAACAGCATTATTTGTAATAATCAAAAAGTGATAACATAATGTTCAACTAAAGAATGGTTAAAAATATGAAATATTATTTGCTATGCAAAGGAACAAATTAAATATCTAGAGATTCAATTACAGAAAATCCTGAATCTTGAAAACATTACGCAAAGTGAAAGAAGCCGACACAAAAGGCCCTGATATGTATGATTACATTTATATAAAATGTTAGAAAAAGCAAATTCAGAGGCAAAGTAGATTAGTGATTTCTAAGAAATGCCATGGGAGGAAGCATTGGAAAGTGAGTACTAATGGGTATGGGACTTCTTTGGGGGATGATGAAAATATTGTCACATTAAAGAGTGATAATCATGGTACAACTCTGAATATACTTAAACTTACTGAATTGTACACTTTAAATTTTAAGGCATGTAAAGTATATCTCAAAGCGGTTATAAAAATATAAAATATAAAAATGGACATTTTAAAATAAATATAAACTTAAAGCCTTATCTATAGTTACTAACAGGTGTTTATCAGATAAAAGGAAAATGATCCCGATGGAAGCATTGACATAAAAGAAATAATGAACAATAATAAACGGGATAAATATTTGTTTTGGTAAATCTAAAACATATAGAACAAAAATTTCTTTAGATAAATTAACTGAATAAAGTAATAAATTAAAAAACTATAATGTTTTTTAACCAATAAAGAAAAGTGTAAATATGTAATTCAAATTTGCATAAAACAATGTGTTTAGATAAATCATTTGCATAAATAATGTTTTGAGTTTAAGATAGATTTGTTTTTGAAAAGCCAAATGATACTGGTGAGTTCTTTTAAACTTTTAAGAAAATATAATGCCTATGATACTAAAAAAAGTTCCATACATACAAAAGGTGAAAAGTTTTCCAAGTGATCTGTAGTTTCAGAAACCTGATGCCCAAAATTGATAAAAAAGAAAAAAAAAATTGTAGTGAAAAAAACTATAAACTATCTTCTCTGAAATATGAAAGAGAATATATAAAATATTAGCCAAATTCTATAATATAATTACACTTTGACCAAGGAGTATTTATAGAAAAAATAAAATTATTGCTTAAAATTATTAATCCATTATATATGGTATCAAAAAAGAAAACTTATGATCACTAGATGATGCCCAAAATCTATTTAATACAGATGATAATGTACATTTCTGTGAAAATCTAAAACACTAATATAAGATAGATTTTATAAACTAGAAAACAATGGCACATTAGTTGAGAGGGTAATAAAAGTATAATTTCTAAAAACATGCTCTAGGAAGAATTTGCAATCAACATTATATTGTGTTAAATCACAGAATATCTGCATTTTCAAAATAGACATAAATTGATAAACATTGGACATAGCAATAAAGTTATTGAACTTCAAAGCTGAATACTTCTACCTGGTTCTAGGCAAACATAAATCACCCTATAGGAAGTAAAAAAATCAAAATAGCTTCATTTTACACAGTCTTAGCAAACTCTGGTATACTGTTAAATAAATGTTGCAATAATCTGAGGAAAAATGTGACTGATAAATTAGAATACAGATTTCATATTCAAGTTTTAAGGGGAAAAAAAAATCAACATCCCCCATGGATGTATGACTTGGTAATGACCCTGTCATTTAAAGATCCTTGATGACCACATCAGCCAACCAATGGATGACTCAAAACAAAAGAGAGATGTGAATTGAAAGGACTTGCAGTTATTACAACATCTCTTTTTAAAGTGTTGATGCCAAACAGCTGTTGAGTCTGCGATTAGAGGACATAAGTTTTGTATACAACCACAAAGTAATATTAAAATATAACCTTATGAAAATCAGATGGACATGAGGATGAACAAGTGAGATAAGACCTCATTTATGCCTAGTATAAATGTTCCATTATTGAACGTTAATCGTGGGAGTTATTTATGTTCTACTGCTCAAGGTCATTGCCAAAGTGTCATTGCAAAAACTTAAAAAATTGCGACCTCAGGCATAAATGAATTTAAAAACGCTAATTTTTTTATCTGGTAAAGAGAAAAGTCAGTAGATTCTATCTAAAGTTTCTAAGTACAAAAGTAAAAATAAATGCACTTATATTTTCATAATTTCTATAAGTAAACTAGAAAAAATATGCTATCTATAAACGTTCTAAATTACTTTTAGAAAAAAGAAACTCAAAGGCCTACAAAACAAGCCAAACCACAACCATGTCGAAAACTTGACAGGACATATTTATCAGAAAACAAAATATAAAATAAAAATACTTTGGTAATATATTCACAAATAAATTCAACTAGAACAAGTTATATTAGATCAAACGATAAAAAAATTCAAACTAAACAGATTTCTAAACTCTAAATCAACGTGCTTCAGAAATGTCACACACACAGACACACACACACACACACACAAGCATGGGAGAAAACAAAGCAAGCCAGATAAAACAACAAAAAAAGCAGAAAGCAGCTTATTGCAAGAGAAGGTTGAATTGTGGGGCAAACACACTAATGAAGTAGAGGGACACTTTTAAATGAGAAAGGCTATAACTCAAGCTGTGAAAATCGAATTGTCCTGAATCACCATGTACCAAATAGCTCATCATCAAAATATATATTGCCAAAATAACAGGCTATTTAATAAGAAATTATAATAAAATGTCTGACTCCATTTTTGAGATTTGGTTCCTGACAGCTATCAAGTTATCCGCTCCCTTTGCCTTTCTGTCCCACATCTGGGCAAGCCAATTCGAAAGCTTCCTGCACCCTTGCTTGGTGGTGGTGGTAAGCTCAAACTCATGAGCCCTGGCTCATGTTTGTGGGAACGCTCACCCCAAACTCAACCCCTTAACCATATAGAAAGCTAGGCCAGTTTCCTTTCTGACCTTTCTCCCAAGTCATGTTTGGACCTGTTTGAGATCCTGCTTTGCTCTCTCAAGAAAGCGTCACTCTATGAAGAATAAACTTTTTCAAACCCTCTCAGCATATACATGTGGCCATCACTAGTTTTGACAGAGTTTTAGATGGGAGTTTCATCCAGTATCTACATGATGATCACAACAGAAAGTCAATTGCATCAGGAGCAATTTTAATTTGTATCTCTCAGTTTAGGCAAAAAACAAATGAAGAGATAGAAGACTTAAATTTCATAAATAGGTGTATCAAAGTTAAATGCGTACACATATATTTTATTTACATTTTATGGATTTAACCACTAGTGAATATGGACAGACATCTACAAAATAAAAATTATACACACTTATATGTATATGTGTGTTTATATTTGTATGTGTCAACACACATACTAAATACAATATTGAACCTTATAAATACAGTTTGCCTGCTTTGAAGCACCCATTGAACACTTAAAAATGACTACTTAGTAGGGCATACCCGCAAAACTAAAATAAAAAATTCAAGTATAGAAAAATACAGACCTCATTATTGTACTGTTAAATAAAACCTGGAAATCGATAAGAAATATAGAAACTGAAAACCACAAACCACTTAGGAATTGATTTAATTAATTTCTTATTTTTGTCTTTCTCTAGTTTTATACAAGGATTGGACTGTGATTGAATTTGAATTGATATTCTCAGGCCTAGGGGTTGTAGCGTCCTAGTATAGTAACGGCTTCTTAGATTCTTCAGCATCTTTTATTAGTAGTAGTAGTAGTAGTACATTTTCTGTTTTCTTATACCTGGTTGGCAGTTAATTCATATTGAATTTTCTCTGTTGAAATAACTGCAGTAGTTTCTATCTCCAGACAAGACCTTGACTGATGCAGAAATCCATCCTTATTCTTCCAGATACTTAATCCTCTAAACATAAGAAGCCAGCTTAAGTCTGCATCAAGTAACCTTGTCTCCTAGTTGATTGGATTTTACATGCAAATCACTCTAAAACCTATAATTATGCATTCTCCAATCACTTTCCCCTAGAGAGGTGTCTCATTTAATCATGTCACCATTTGCTGTTGTACAAGTCAGAGCTCATGTGCCATGCCTTATGTACTTAGATGATTTCTTAACACCAAAATAAATTCGATTAACCAAATACTCTTTCCCTGATTATAGCAGATGACAGAGAGTTATAATAAGGTCTTGAAACCACTTCCAATGAAAGCATTGCTCATTCTTGTCGTTTAATTTTGGTCCAAATAGCTATCACAGTAGGTAAATAGATGCATTGATGGTTAAGAATAATTAATCATCTTTTCTTGTTTTATGTGCTTAACAAGGGCAATCAGAAGTTTTTAAAAACCTCAGAAACTACTAAGTATTCACATTTTAAAATGTAAGATTCTTGATTTTTTTTGCTAATATAAAAAGTGGGCAAATGTAACAAAACATTTTAGCATGATAGTATTGGCTTTGATTTTCTTCTGTAAATCGTCATATTATACCATCAACATTGAAGAGTAGTTTTACTATGAAAGATTTGAGGTAGGTACATTATATCTTTTGAAGAGATCTGTGTTGCACTTACGGTAATTTGCCAAAGTATGAGAATTACACTCTAAATTGCTCTGTTTTACCTTTGTAGTGGTATCATATATCATAGCTGGAAAAATGTGCTAATTTTTATCATTGACAAAAATTACATAGAAATAATTCCAGACATTTGCAAAAGAAAGAGTAGTTATAATTCAGGGACCAGTTTGTTTTCAGTTGATTCTCAGGAAAGTGGTACAGTATTATTCTAATTTAGTACGTTCAGCCCAGCTCTAGTAAACATAGGTTTTTGGGAAATGTGGAATGTGATGCAATGGGCTTCATAGTCTTTCCAGGACTGGGAATGACATAGACTTCTATTACTCAGTCTCTTCTGATCTTCTTTGTTTCCATTGTTGAAAAGGTCCTGAAGAATTGCACTTTGTAGCTTGCTAGAAACATGATAAGATCTCTGGAATTTTTAAATATAGAAACCAGCTCACTATGAGTTCTGCTTTTTCCTGAAACAGGAAGTGCTACCTGCTGGGGTGGAATTGCTTATTAAATATAAGAAATACAGAAGCTTTTCTACATAATGTACTTCTTAGAAATAAATACATGGAATTAAATTTTATGTATGATGATCTTAAGTAGAAAACTTTCATAACATTATAATTCATGCTTTTGGAATATAGGTGCTTAGAAGAGCAGAAGGAAGTTGAGCTTTAAAAAGTATCTTTTAACATAGCGAGACCTAGGTTTATAAAAGTCTAAAATGTGTATTTTGAATTACTGTGTGATAATTAAACAGAAGTTGTGTTTTTTCTCATTTCTCTAGTAATCTATATTCCAGAGTAGGAGTTTTATTCATTTAATTTTGTACTTAGATTATAAAAGTAATACAAAATTATGGTGTGATATACTGTGGCCTGAATGTCTGTGTCCCTCTAAAATTCATAGGTTGAAAACTAATCGTTAATGTGATGGTATTAAGGGGTGAGGCTTTGGGGAGGTGATTAGGTCATGAGGACTCTGGCCTCATGAATAGAATTAGTGCTCCTATAAAAGGGACACGTGGGAGCTTGTTTGTCCTTTCCACCATGGGAGGACACAGCAAGAAGCTGCCATCTATGAAACAGACGGAGCACTCACCAGACACCAAACTGGCTGACGTCTTGATTTTGGGCTTCCTAGACTCCAGAATTGTGAGAAATAATATTCTATTGTTTATAAACTACCTAGTTTATGGTACTTCGTAGACAGCAGCTCAGAGAGACTAAGACATGGTCTATGTGTGTTTTGTGTGTGTATGTATATGTTGTGTATATGTGTGTGTGTATGTATCCATCCATATACACACATGTGAATATGAATATACAGATTTTCTGAAGGGGAATTTATTTGCCTAATATCCATTGTATGGATATAGCATATTCATTTAATCTCTGTTTATGGAATTCTGTTGCTTCTATTTTTTTCCTCTTAGAAATCTATAATTAAATATTTTTTGCCACTTGTTAGATGATTTCTGAAAAGAAATCTCACAACTGGGATTCCTTGGTCAAAGGTATACACATTTTAAATTATGATGCATTGCCACAGTGTTCCATAAAGTTATATAATTCCTTTATTTTTTTTTTATTTTTTTTTTTTTTTTGAGACAGGGTCTCGCTTTTGTCACCCAGGCTGAAGTATAGTACTGCAATCTTGGCTCACCTGTAACCTCCTGCCTCCAGGGCTCAAGTGATTCTCCCACGTCATCCTCCCAAATAGCTGGGACTACAGCTGCATGCCCCCACTCCTGGCTAATTTTTGCATATTTTGTAGAGATGGAGTTTCACCATGTTGCCCAGGCTGATCTTGAACTCCTGGACTAAAGGGATCCACCGACCTCAGCCTCCCAAAGTGCTGGGATTACCAGTGTGAGCCACTGTGCCCAGCACCCTATCTCTGCATATACCATGACAACCCATCAGTTTACCAGATGTTTTTCATGTACAATCACTAGAATTTAAGGAAATTGGAAAACCTTTCCCATGAAAGTCATTCATTTCTTGACTTTATTGGTGATGTTCTTTACCATGATGTAAATTTTCCACTTCATTTAGTATTTTGAGACTTTCAAACCATCCTTTAAAAGGCCATCCTCATGATTTCTATCCAAAATTACTTTATTTTGAAGTATCTCCCAAGATTCCTTCTGGTATTTTAATGACTTATTTTTAAAAAAATTTCCACATACAGCATTGAATGATTTCTATTTTAACAAGTAGAGTTTGATCCATTTGGAAGTGATTTGGTACAAAACATGAACATGAAATCCAACTTAGTTCTTTTCTAAATGGCTAGATGGTTGTTCCCAAAGTATGCATTAAAATAATATATTTCTTTTTCTGTGCGTGTGTATTTTTTTTCTGTGCTTTTTTTTTATTATTATACTTTAAGTTCTAGGGTACATGTGCACAACGTGCAGGTTTGTTACATATATATACATGTGCCATGTTGGTGTGCTGCACCCATTAACTCGTCATTTAGCATTAGGTATATATCCTGATGCTATCCCTCCCCACTCCCCCCACCCCACAACACGCCCTGGTGTGTGATGTTCCCCTTCCTGTGTCCAAGTGTTCTTGTTGTTCAATTCCCACCTATGAGTGAGAACATGTGGTGTGCGGTTTTCTGTTCTTGCCATAATTTGCTGAGAATGACAGTTTCTAGCTTCATCCATGTCCCTACGAAGGACATGAGCTCACCCTTTTTTATGGCTGTATAGTATTCCATGGTGTATATGTGCCACATTTTCTTAATCCAGTCTATCATTGATGGACATTTGGGTTGGTTCCCTGTCTTTGCTATTGTGAATAGTGCGCCACAATAAACATATGTGTGCATGTGTCTTTACAGCAGCATGATTTATAATTCTTTTGGTATATACCCAGTAATGGCATGGCTGGGTCAAATGGTATTTCTAGTTCTAGATCCTTGAGGAATCGCCACACTGTCTTCCACAATGGTTGAACTAGTTTACAGTCCCACCAACAGTGTAGAAGTGTTCCTATTTCTCCACATCCTCTCCAGCACCTGTTGTTTCCTGTCTTTTTACTGATGGCCATTCTAACTGTTGTGAGATGGTGTCTCACTGTGGTTTTGATTTGCATTTCTCTGATGGCCAGTGATGATGAGCATTTTTTCATGTGTCTTTTGGCTGCATAACTGTCTTCTTTTGAGAAGTGTCTGTTCATATCCTTTGCCCACTCGTTGATGTGGTTGTTTTTTTCTTGTAAATTTGTTTGAGTTCTTTGTAGATTATGGATATTAGCCCTTTGTGAGATGAGTAGATTGCAAAAATTTTCTCCCATTCTGTAGGTTGCCTGTTCACTCTGAGGGTAGTTTCGTTTGCTGTGCAGAAGCTCTTTAGTTTAATTAGGTTCCATTTGTCAATTATGGCTTTTGTTGCCATTGCTTTTGGTGTTTCAGACAGGAAATCCTTGCCCATGCCTATGTCCTGGATGGTATTGCCTAGGTTTTCTTCTAGGGTTTTTATGGTATTAGGTCTAACATTTAAGTCTTTAATCCATCTTGAATTAATTTTTGTATAAGGTGTAAGGAAGGGATCCAGTTTTAGCTTTCTCCATATGGCTAACCAGTTTTCCCAGCATCATCTATTAAATAGGGAATCCTTTCCCCATTGCTTGTTTTTGTCAGGTTTGTCAAAGACCAGATGGTTGTAGATGTGTGGTATTATTTCTGAGGGCTCTGTTCTGTTCCACTGGTCTATATCTCTGTTTTGGTACCAGTACCATGCTGTTTTGATTACTGTAGCCTTGTAGTATAGTTTGAAGTCAGGTAGCGTGATGCCTCCAGCTTTGTTCTTTTGGCTTAGGATTGACTTGGCGATGCAGGCTCTTTTTTGGTTCCATATGAACTTTAAAGTAGCTTTTTCCAATTCTGTGAAGAAAGTCATTGGTAGCTTGATGGGGATGGCATTGAATCTGTAAATTACCTTGGGCAGTATGGCCATTTTCACGAGATTGATTCTTCCTACCCATGAGCATGGAATGTTTTTCCATTTGTTTGTATCCTCTTTTATTTCATTGAGCAGTGGTTTGTAGTTCTCCTTGAAGAGGTCCTTCACATCCCTTGTAAGTTGGATTCCTAGGTATTTTATTGTCTTTGAAGCAATTGTGAATGGGAGTTCACTCATGATTTGGCTCTCTGTTTGTCTGTTGTTGGTGTATAAGAATGCTTGTGATTTTTGTACATTGATTTTGTATCCTGAGACTTTGCTGAAGTTGCTTATCAGCTTAAGGAGATTTTGGGCTGAGACAATGGGGTTTTCTAGATATACAATCATGTCATCTGCAAACAGGGACAATTTGACTTCCCCTTTTCCTAATTGAATACCCTTTATTTCCTTCTTCTGCCTGATTGCCCTGGCCAGAACTTCCAACACTATGTTGAATAGAAGTGGTGAGAGAGGGCATTCTTGTCTTGTGCCAGTTTTCAAAGGGAATGCTTCCAGTTTTTGCCCATTCAGTATGATATTGGCTGTGGGTTTGTCATAGATAGCTCTTATTATTTTGAGATACCTCCAATCAATACCTGGTTTATTGAGAGTTTTTAGCCTGAAGGGCTGTTGAATTTTGTCAAAAGCCTTTTCTGCATCTCTTGAGAAAATCATGTGGTTTTTGTCGTTGGTTCTGTTTATATGATGGATTATGTTTATTGATTTGCATATGTTGAACCAGCCTTGCATCCCATGGATGAAGCTCACTTGATCTTGGTGGAAAAGCTTTTTGATGTGCTGCTGGATTTGGTTTGCTGGTATTTTATTGTGGATTTTTGCATCGATGTTCATCAGGGATATTGGTCTAAAATTCTTTTTTGTTGTGTCTCTGCCAGGCTTTGGTATTAGTATGATGTTGGCCTCATAAAATGAATTAGGGAGGATTCCTTCTTTTTCTATTGATTGGAATAGTTTCAGAAGGAATGGTACCAGCTCCTCTTTGTACCTCTGGTAGTATTTGGCTGTGAATCCATCTGGTCCTGGACTTTTTTTGGTTGGTAGGCTGTTAATTATTGCCTCAATTTCAGAGCCTGTTATTGGTCTATTCAGGGATTCAGCTTCTTCTTGGTTTAGTCTTGGGAGGGTGTATGTGTCCAGGAATTTATCCATTTCTTCTAGATTTTCTAATATATTTGCGTAGAGGTGTTTATAGTCTCCTCTGATGGTAGTTTATATTTCTTCGGGATCAGTGGTGGTATTCCCTTTATCATTTTTTATTGTATCTATTTGATCCTTGTCTTTTCTTTTTTGTTAGTCTTGCTAGCGGTCTATCAATTTTGTTGATCTTTTCAAAAAACCAGCTCCTGGATTAATTGATTTTTTGAAGGGTTTTTTATGTCTCTGTCTCCTTCAGTTCTGCTCCAATCTTAGTTATTTCTTGCCTTCTGCTAGCCTTTGAATGTGTTTGCTCTTGCTCTTCTAGTTCTTTTAATGGTGATGTTAGGGTGTCAATTTTAGATCTCTCCTGCTTTCTCTTGTGGGCATTTAGTGTTACAAATTGCCTTCTAAACACTGCTTTGAATGTGTCCCAGAGATTCTGGTATGTTGTGTCTTTGTTCACGTTGGTTTCAAAGAACATCTTTATTTCTGCCTTCATTTCATTAGGTACCCAGTAGTCATTCAGGAGCAGGTTGTTCAGTTTCCATGTAGTTGAGCGGTTTTGAGTGAGTTTCTTCATCCTGAGTTCTAGTTTGATTGCACTGTGGTCTGAGAGACAGTTTGTTACAATTCCTATTATTTTACATTTGTTGAGGAGTGTTTTACTTCCAACTATGTGGTCAGTTTTGGAATACATGCGATGTGGTGCTGAGAAGAATGTATATTCTGTTGATTTGGGGGTGGGGAGTTCTGTAGATGTCTATTAGGTCTGCTTGCTGCAGAGCTGAATTCAATTCCTGGATATCCTTGTTAACTTACTGTCTCGTTGATTTGTCTAATGTTGACAGTGGGGTGTTAAAGTCTCCCATTATTATTATTGTGTGGGAGTCTAAGTCTCTTTGTAAGTCTCTAAGGACTTGCTTTATGAATCTGGGTGCTCCTGTATTGGGTGCATGTATATTTAGGATAGTTAGTTCTTCTTGTTGAATTGATCCCTTTACCATTATGTAATGGCCTTCTTTGTCTCTTTTGATTTTTCTTGGTTTAAAGTCTGCTTTATCCAGAGCCCTCTGAAATAATGCTGCATATGTACAACTATCTGATCTTTGACAAACCTGACAAAAACAAGAAATGGGGAAAGGATTCCCTATTTAATAAATAGTGCTGGGAAAAATGGCTAGCCATATGGAGAAAGCTGAAACTGGATCCCTTCCTTCCACCTTATACAAAAATTAATTCAAGATGGATTAAAGACTTAAACGTTAGACCTAAAACCATAAAAACCCTAGAAGAAAACCTAGGCAATACCATTCAGGACATAGGCATGGGCAAGGACTTCATGTCTAAAACACCAAAAGCAATGGCAACAAAAGACAAAATTGACAAATGGGATCTAATTAAACTAAAGAGCTTCTGCACAGCAAAAGAAACCACCATCAGAGTGAACAGGCAACCTACAGAATGGGTGAAAATTTCTGCAACCTACTCATCTGACAAAGGGCTAATATCCAGAATCTACAATGAACTCAAACAAATTTACAAGAAAAAAACAACCACATCAACGAGTGGGCGAAGGATAGGAACAGACACTTCTCAAAAGAAGACATTTATGCAGCCAAAAGACACATGAAAAAATGCTCCTCATCACTGGCCATCAGAGAAATGCAAATCAAAACCACAATGAGATACTATCTCACACCAGTTAGAATGGCAATCAGTAAAAAGTCAGGAAACAACAAGTGCTGAAGAGGATGTGGAGAAATAGGAACACTTTTACACTGTTGGTGGGACTATAAACTAGTTCAACCATTGTGGAAGTCAGTGTGGCGATTCCTCAAGGATCTAGAACTAGAAATACCATTTGACCCAGCCATCCCATTACTGGGTATATACCCAAAGGACTTTAAATCTTGCTGCTATAGAGACACATGCACACGTATGTTTATTGTGGCACTATTCACAATAGCAAAGACTTGGAACCAACCCAAATGTCCAACAATGATAGACTGGATTAAGAAAATGTGGCACATATACACCATGGAATACTATGCAGCCATAAAAAATGATGAGTTCATGTCCTTTGTAGGGACATGGATGAAATTGGAAACCATCATTCTCAGCAAACTATCACTAGGACAAAAAAACCAAACACCACATATTCTCACTCATAGGTGGGAATTGAATAATGAGAACACATGGATACAGGAAGGGGAACATCACACTCTGGGGACTGTTGTGGGGAGGGAGGAGGGATAGCATTAGGAGATATACCTAATGCTAAATGACGAGTTACTGGGTGCAGCACACCAACATGGCACATGTATACATATGTAACAAACCTGCACGTTGTGCACATGTATCCTAAAACTTAAAGTATAATAATAATAAAAAATAAAAGGAGGGAAGAACAAAAAAAACCATATTGATAATAAAATTAAATATAAATGTTTAAACATTCCAATGCAAAGGCAGAGTGCGTTAAACTCAAAAATATTTAAAGCTGTTTATAATAAAATACTTTAAATACAAATACAGATAAAAGTCCAAAGTAAAATGACTAAAAAAGTTATACTATGCAAACACAAATCAGAACAAAGCTGAAGTAGCAGTATTAATATCAGACAAGGAAACTTCAGAACTAGGACTATTACCTGAAATAAAGAGAGACATTTCATAATGATTACAGGTTAATTTACCAAGAAGACTTAAGACTCTCAACAGGGCAAGTATTTAATGATAGAACTTCACAGTAATGAAAAAAATACTGATATAAATGACTGGAGAAATAGACAAATCCGCAATTATAATTAGAGATTTTAACACTCCTCTCTGAGTAACTGATAGAAAGAGTAGGCAGAAAAATCAATAAATCAATAGAAGAAGCAAATAATACTATTAAACTTAATGGACATAAACTCAAACCCACAAGTTATACATGATTTTCAAGTGCACGTAGAATATTTACCAGAATAAGCCATATTCTAGGGCCATAAAACAAATCTGAATAAGTTCATAAGGATCGAATTCATATAAAACATTTTATTTGACAATAAATTAGAATTAAATTCAGAAAATATCTAGAAAATAAATCCCCAAATATTTAAAAGTTAATCAACACACTTCTAAGTAGCTCATAAATCAAATGCACAAAGCAAATTAGGAAATATTTTCAACTAATTGCAAATGAAACACAGAATATCAAAATGTGTGGGATGTATCAAAAGCCATGGTTTGAATGATAGTATAGATAGAAGCAGTGAGAGATAAAAGACTTTTGTGTGTAGAATAGAGAAGGATGGCAGATTTCTCATCAGAAACAATGAATGTAGACAGACAGTGAAAGCAGACCGAACACATACCGTATGATCTCATGTATATAAAATTCTAGGGTATTCACACAGATATGTGAATATATGGGAGACACAAAAATTATATTGAAAAATAAACTTTATTTGCTATGAGATTTTAACTTAATATGTCTCAGCTCAGGAAAGAGACAAATAAAGATGCAGTGTATATAACATGTATTTATATATGCATTTACCTATCTATGATTGATATAAACATGAGGGGGTGTGTTTGGGTAGATATTAATATACCAAACATGCACAATTCTGAAACTTGGAGAGTTCAGCTTCTTTACAACATCCATAGGTCATATTATTATCATATGTTAGGGCATACCTATAAGAAAACTCTGAAGAAATTTAAATATGGAAATAATATGGGACATACTGTTTGACTATAAAAAAGTTAGAACCAGAAAACAAAAATAGAAATATGAAACCCCATTCAGCAGGAAAAATTTTTAATCACATAATAGAATATTTAGAAAACAATAATAATGAAAGCTATGTGTGCCAAACACAAATCGAATAGAATAGACTGATAACAGTCTCTGAAATTGAGGCAATAATTAATAGCCTACCAACCAAAAAAAGTCCAGGACCAGGTGGATTCACAGCCGAATTCTACGAGAGGTACAAGGAGGAGCTGGTACCATTTCTTCTGAAACTATTCCAATCAATAGAAAAAGAGGGAATCCATGCTAACTCATTTTATGAGGCCAGCATCATTCCTGATACCAAAGATGGGCAGAGACACAACAAAAAGAATTTTAGACCAATGTCCTTGATGAACATTGATACAAAAATCCTCAATAAAATGCTAGCAAACCGAATCCAGCAACACATCAAAAAGCTCATCCACCATGATCAAGTGTGTTTCATCCCTCGGATGCAAGGCTGGTTTGACATACGAAAATCAATAAATGTAATCTGCATATGAACAGAACCAAAGACAAAAACCACATGATTATCTCAATAGATGTAGAAAAGGCGTTTGACAAAATTCAACAACGCTTCATGCTAAAAACTCTCAATAAATTAGGTATTGATGGGACGTATCTCAAAATAGTAAGAGCTATCTATGATAAACCCATAGCTAATATCATACTGAATGGGCAAAAACTGGAAGCATTCCCTTTGAAAACTGGCACAAGACAGGGATGCCCTCTCTCACCACTTCTATTCAACATAGTGTTGGAAGTTCTGGCCAGGGCAGTCAGGCAGGAGGAGGAAATAAAGGGCATTTAGTGAGGAAAAGAGGAAGTCAAATTGTCCCTGTTTGCAGATGACATGATTGTATATCTAGAAAACGCCATCGCTTCAGCCCAAAATCTCCTTAGGTTGATAAGCAACTTCAATATAGTTTTAAGTCTACCACTTTGATATTTGTTTTCTACTGTTTCATCTGTTCTTTGCTTTTTTTTTCATCTTTCCCTGCATTCTCTTTTATTGACTATTTTTTTAGTAGTCCTTCTTCTTATTTATACTATTGGCTTCTTAGCTATACCTCTGTTTCTAATTTTAGTGGTAGTTCTAGCACTTAAAATATGTATCTCTAATTTATTATAGTCTACTTGCAAATAATATAATACCATTTCTTGAATAATGTAAGAGCCTTAATGACATTATAATTCCACTCCCCTCTTAGGTTCTGTGTTTTTTTGTCATGCTTCTTACTTTTGCCTATGTCTAATCCTCTTAGCAGTTATTTATGTTCTAGGTACTCTTTTATCTTTTAGAGAAATTAAAATTTTACAAAGTATTTTCTATTTATGTTTATCATTTCTGGAACTCTCCATTTGTTTATGTGGATCCAAGTTATTGTTTGATACTATATTTCTGCCACAAGAACTTTTTTTTTTTTTTTTTTTTGAGAGGGAGTCTTGCCCTCTTGCCCAGGTTGAAGTGCAGTGGTGGGATCTTGGCTCACTGCCGCCTGTGCCTCCCGGATTCAAGCAATTCTCCTGCCTCAGCCTCCTGAGTAGCTGAGATTACAGGCATGTGCCACCACGCCCAGCTAATTTTTGTATTTTTAGTAGAGATGGGTTTTCACCATGTTGGCCAGGCTGATCTCGAGCTCCTGACCTCGTGATCCACCTGACTTGGTCTCCCAAAGTGCTGGGATTACAGGCATGAGCCACTGTGTGCCCGGCCTCCCAAGAACTTTCTTAAACATTTCTTCTCATCCAGGTGTTCTGGCAACAAATTTTTCCAGCTATTAATCTTATTTTCCCTTCAATTTTGAGAGAGATTTTTGCTGGACTTAAAATTCTTTTGAAAATAGGGTTTCCTCCCTTCTTTTAATACTTTAAAGATGTCATTTTACTGTCTTCTTGTTTGTATATTTTCAGATGTAAAGTCTGCAGTTAATCTGATTTTTGATCCTCTGTATAAATGTCCATTTTTTCTTGGAATCTTTCAAGCTTTTCTCTTTATTACTGATTTTCAGGAAGTTTGTCATAATATGCCTTAGTGTGATTTTATTATGTTTTACTGAGCTTTGAATCTGTTGACTTAGTTTTTTATCATGTTTGCAAAAATTGCGGCCATTATTCTTTAAAACATTGTTTTCTTTCTATCTGTCTCACTTCTCCTGGGACTCTAATTATACGTACATTAGACTATTCGGTTAATCTAATCTAGTGAGTTTTTCATTTGACGTGTTTCTTTTGCAGTTGTAGAATTTCCATTTGGTACTAATTTATAATTTTCATTTTGCTTTTCTTCAGGATAATGTTTTCTTTTAAATTCAGGTACACATTTTTAATGGCTCTTTTGAAGTTCTTTTCTGCTAATTTCATTGTGGTTGTCATTTTCTGCTGTTGTTTCTATTGACAGCTGCTTCTGTCTGTGAATCACAGTTTCCGGCTTATTTTATGCCTGGAAATTTTTTATTTGATGCTACAGTTTTTTATTTTACATATTTTAATGTAGAAGTTTGGTGTACAGTATGGGTTGAAATGTGCCCCTTCCTCCCAATTCATATGTTGAAGTCCTAACACTCAATACTTCAGATTGTGACTTTATATGGAAATAGGGTCATTGCAGGTGTAATGACTTAAGTTGAAGTCATACTGGAGTGTGGGCTTCTAACCTGAGTGCTGTTTTTACATCATATTATGTATATTAATATGACTGATTTAATGGAGAAGGGAAGAATTTGGTTACAGACACACACAGAGGAAGAGCACACTGTGAACATGAAGATGCCCATCTATAAGCCTCCAAGAGAGACCTGGAACAGAACTGTTCCTCACAGCCCTTTGAAGGAACCAACCCTCCTGACATCTTATTCTCAGACTTCCAAACTTCAGAACTGTGAGACTATACATTTCTTCTGCTTAAGTCACCCAAATTAATTTGTGGTACTTTGTTACAGCAGCCCTGGCAAGCTAATACAATGTGTTCTATTAAATATTACTAGACTTTATTCTGGAAAACTAAGTTACTTGAGTATCAGTTTGATCATTTGCAGGAATGTCTTCAATATTTGTTAGGGCAGATTTGAAAGGGCATTTACACAAAGTCTAGTTGAGGGCCATTATCAAGGCATGGCTTCTTAATTGACTACTGAATCCCCTGGGTATTCCAGAAGCACTCTTGCTTGTTAATACGGAGACATATCTAGTTTCCCAGAGTCACACAAGATAACTATTGAGCTCACAGCTCACCAATCCTTTGTGTGGCTTTTTGGAGTTTTACTTCGTGCATGAGCAGTAGAGTATCCAGCAGCAGATTCATGGGGAACTCAGTTTCCTGGAGCTCTTTCTTCACACAGCTTTATGCTGATACTACATACTGCAAAAGCTATCTACCTCAGCCTTCCAAAATTCTTAAATCTGTCTTGCCAACTTAGTGAGAAGTTTTAAATTTTCAAAGACAATTGATGCTTATAATTAAAGTTTTATTTATTTTTTTTTTTTGAGACAGGATTCCACTCTGTCACCCAGGGTGGAGTGCAGTAGCATGATCATGGCTTACTGCAACCTTGACCTACTGGGCCCAAGTGATTCTCTCACCTTTACCTCCTGAGTAGCTCGGACCGCAGGTGGTGTGAGCCACCTTGCTTGGCTAATTTATTGATATTTTTTTTTTTTTTTTTTTTTTTTTTTGGTAGAGACAATGTCTTGCTCTTTTGCCTAGGCTGGTCTTGAACTCCTGAACTCAAGTGATGCTCCTGTTTTGGCCTCCCAAAGTATTAGAATTAGAGGTGTGAGCCACCACACTGAGCCTAAAGCTCTTACTGACTTTAAAATAACTATAATTTATCCTTATCATCTGGCTTCTCAAAACCAAAAATAATCTTAGGCTACGTTTTAATAGCAAAGTGTATGTATATATCTAGATAATTAATAGTCCCATTTCACTCTTTTAGGTACTTACCTTTTCTGAAGTATTTTTTCCCCTCTGTTGAACCATACTTTGTGAAAAATATTAGTCAAGTGATACATCAAAATAGGAAAGATTGCATTATCAGTCAGCTCAAGCTATCTGTGAGATATCAAATATAAAGAGTTCTAAAAACAAGGTTACTTAATTGAAAAGTACTCACTAGAAACGAAACACTGTATATAAAAAATTATGTTCTTTAAAAAATTTATAAATGTATTATCAAAAGCATGGATTTGGAGATCAGTCCATTTAGCGATACTAACTTCTCTAGGGCAGTCATAATCTCATGTACACAAGTAAGAATTAACAGCAACATGGACAAAGCTTTCATTCCTTAGGATTAGTGTTTTTAATCCTCAATTATTTACTGTTTGTTTTGTGCTTAAAATTCATCTTGATGAATACTTCTAAATTTGTGATAGAAAGTGGTATGAGACTGTACTATCTAAAAAGATCTTACAATCTTTTCTGATAGTTTTATGAACTTAGAACTGTTACTGCTGATGTAAACATTTTATCTCTTCCTTCACAGAAACAATATTTTCATTATTCTTCAGCTGCTACAAATGGTTTTGAATTGATTAGCTTTTAGGTCATTTCTCTTAGTTGCGAACAACAGAACTAGGCTAATAAAAGCAGGGCTGTTACTTTGTTGTTTTTTTTTCTTTTTTATATTTCCTTTTTTATTATTATTATACTTAAAGTTCTGGGATACATGTGCAGGACGTGCAGGTTTGTTACATAGGTATACATGTGCCCTGGTGGTTTGCTGCACTCACCAACCCATCACCTACATTAGGTATTTCTCTTAATGCTATCCCTCCCTTAGCACCCCCAACCCCCAGCAGCCCCAGCGTGTGATGTTTCCCTCCCTGTGTCCATGTGCTCTCATTGTTCAACTCCCAGTTAACAAGTGAGAACATGCAGTGTTTGGTTCTCTTTTCCTGTGTTAGTTTGCTGAGAATGATGGTGTCCAGCTTCATCCATATCCCTGCAAAGGACATGAACTCATCCTTTTTTATAGCTGCATAGTATTCCATGGCGTATATGTGCCACCTTTCCTTTTTTTTTTCTTTATTATTATACGTTAAGTTTTAGGGTACATGTGCACATTGTGCAGGTTAGTTACATATGTATACATGTGCCACGCTGGTAAGCTGCACCCACTAACTTGTCATCTAGCATTAGATATATCTCCCAGTGCTATCCCTCCCGCCTCGCCCCACCCCACAACAGTCCCCAGAGTGTGTTGTTCCCCTTCCTGTGTCCATGTGATCTCATTGTTCAATTTCTCACCTATGAGTGAGAATATGCGATGTTTGGTTTTTTGTTCTTGCGACAGTTTACTGAGAATGATGATTTCCAATTTCATCCATGTCCCTACAAAGGACATGAACTCATCATTTTTTATGGCTGCATAGTATTCCATGGTGTATATGTGCCACATTTTCTTAATCCAGTCTATCATTGTTGGACATTTGGGTTGATTCCAAGTCTTTGCTATTGTGAATAGTGCCGCAATAAACATACGTGTGCATGTGTCTTTATAGCAGCATGATTTATAGTCCTTTGGGTATATACCCAGTAATGGGATGGCTGGGTCAAATGGTGTTTCTAGTTATAGATCCCTGAGGAATCGCCACACTGACTTCCACAATGGTTGAACTAGTTTACAGTCCCACCAACAGTGTAAAAGTGTTCCTATTTCTCCACATCCTCTCCAGCACCTGTTGTTTCCTGACTTTTTAATGATTGCCATTCTAACTGGTGTGAGATGGTATCTCATTGTGGTTTTGATTTGCATTTCTCTGATGGCCAGTGATGATGAGCATTTTTTCATGTGTTTTTTGGCTGCATAAATGTCTTCTTTTGAGAAGTGTCTGTTCGTGTCCTTTGCCCACTTTTTGATGGGGTTGTTTGTTTTTTTCTTGTAAATTTGTTTGAGTTCATTGTAGATTCTGGATATTAGCCCTTTGTGAGATGAGTAGGTTGCAAAAATTTTCTCCCATTCTGTAGGTTGCCTGTTCACTCTGAGGGTAGTTTCTTTTGCTGTACAGAAGCTCTTTAGTTTAATTAGATCCCATTTGTCAATTTTGTCTTTTGTTGCCATTGCTTTTGGTGTTTTAGACATGAAGTCCTTGGCCATGCCTATGTCCTGAATGGTATTGCCTAGGTTTTCTTCTAGGGTTTTTATGGTATTAGGTCTAACATGTAAGTCTTTAATCCATCTTGAATTAATTTTTGTATAAGGTGTAAGGAAGGGATCCAGTTTCAGCTTTCTACATATGGCTAGCCAGTTTTCCCAGCACCATTTATTAAATAGGGAATCCTTTCCCCATTGCTTGTTTTTCTCAGGTTTGTCAAAGATCAGATAGTTGTAGATATGTGGTGTTATTTCTGAGGGTTCTGTTCTGTTCCATTGATCTATATCTCTGTTTTGGTACCAGTACCATGCTGTTTTGGTTACTGTAGCCTTGTAGTATAGTTTGAAGTCAGGTAGGGTGATGCCTCCAGCTTTGTTCTTTTGGCTTAGGAATGACTTGGAGATGCAGGCTCTTTTTTGGTTCTATATGAACTTTAAAGTAGTTTTTTCCAATTCTGTGAAGAAAGTCATTGGTAGCTTGATGGGGATGGCATTGAATCTGTAAATTACCTTGGGCAGTATGGCCATTTTCACAATATTGATTCTTCCTACCCATGAGCATGGAATGTTCTTCCATTTGTATCCTCTTTTATTTCATTGAGCAGTGGTTTGTAGTTCTCCTTGAAGAGGTCCTTCACATCCCTTGTAATGTGGATTCCTAGGTATTTTATTGTCTTTGAAGCAATTGTGAATGGGAGTTCACTCATGATTTGGCTCTCTGTTTGTCTGTTGTTGGTGTATAAGAATGCTTGTGATTTTTGTACATTGATTTTGTATCCTGAGACTTTGCTGAAGTTTCTTAACAGCTTAAGGAGATTTTGGGCTGAGACAGTGGGGTTTTCTAGATATACAATCATGTCATCTGCAAAGAGGGACAGTTTGACTTCCTCTTTTCCTAATTGAACACCCTTTATTTCCTTCTCCTGCCTAATTGCCCTGGCCAGAACTTCCAACACTATATTGAATAGGAGTGGTGAGAGAGGGCATCCATGTCTTGTGCCAGTTTTCAAAGGGAATGCTTCCAGTTTTTGCCCATTCAGTATGATATTGGCTGTGGGTTTGTCATAGATAGTTCTTATTATTTTGAAATATGTCCCATCAATACCTAATTTATTGAGAGTTTTTAGCATGAAGGGTTGTTGAATTTGTCAAAGGCCTTTTCTGCATCTATTGAGATAATCATGTGGTTTTTGTCTTTGGCTCTGTTTATATGCTGGATTACATTTATTGATTTGTGTATATTGAACCAGCCTTGCATCCCAGGGATGAAGCCCACTTGATGATGGTGGATAAGCTTTTTGATTTGCTGCTGGATTTGGTTTGCCAATATTTTATTGAGGATTTTTGCATCAATGTTCATCAAGGATATTGGTCTAAAATTCTCTTTTTTGGTTGTGTCTCTGCCCGGCTTTGATATCAGGATGATGCTGGCCTCATAAAATGAGTTAGGGAGGATTCCCTCTTTTTCTATTGATTGGAATAGTTTCAGAAGGAATGGTATCAGTTCCTCCTTGTACCTCTGGTAGAATTTGGCTGTGAATCCATCTGGTCCTGGACTCTTTTTGGTTGGTAAGCTATTGATTATTGCCACAATTTCAGCTCCTGTTATTGGTCTATTCAGAGATTCAACTTCTTCCTGGTTTAGTCTTGGGAGAGTGTATGTGTCCAGGAATTTATCCATTTCTTCTAGATTTTCTAGTTTATTGGCATAGAGGTGTTTGTAGTATTCTCTGATGGTAGTTTGTATTTCCATGGGATCGGTGGTGATATCCCCTTTATCATTTTTTATTGCATCTATTTGATTCTTCTCTCTCTTTTTCTTTGTCTTGCTAGCAGTCTATCTATTTTGTTGATCCTTTCAAAAAACCAGCTCCTGGATTCATTAATTTTTTGAAGGGTTTTTTGTGTCTCTATTTCCTTCAGTTCTGGTCTGATTTTAGTTATTTCTTGCCTTCTGCTAGTTTTTGAATGTGTTTGCTCTTGCTTTTCTAGTTCTTTTAATTGTGATGTTAGGGTGTCAATTTTGGATCTTTCCTGCTTTCTCTTGTGGGCATTTAGTGCTATAAATTTCCCTCTACACACTGCTTTGAATGTGTCCCAGAGATTCTGGTATGTTGTGTCTTTGTTCTCATTGGTTTCAAAGAACATCTTTATTTCTGCCTTCATTTCGTTATGTACCCAGTAGTCATTCAGGAGCAGGTTGTTCAGTTTCCATGTAGTTGAGTGGTTTTGAGTGAGATTCTTAATCCTGAGTTCTAGTTTGATTGCACTGTGGTCTGAGAGACAGTTTGTTATAATTTCTGTTCTTTTACATTTGCTGAGGAGAGCTTTACTTCCAAGTATGTGGTCAATTTTGGAATAGGTGTGGTGTGGTGCTGAAAAAAATGTATATTCTGTTGATTTGGGATGGAGAGTTCTGTAGATGTCTATTAGGTCGGCTTGGTGCAGAGCTGAGTTCAATTCCTGGGTATCCTCGTTGACTTTCTGTCTCTTTGATCTGTCTAATATTGACAGTGGGGTGTTAAAGTCTCCCACTATTAATGTGTGGGAGTCTAAGTCTCTTTGTAGGTCACTCAGGACTTGCTTTATGAATCTGGGTGCTCCTGTATTGGGTGCATATATATTTAGGATAGTTAGCTCTTCTTGTTGAATTGATCCCTTTACCATTATGTAATGGCCTTCTTTGTCTCTTTTGATCTTTGTTGGTTTAAAGTCCGTTTTATCAGAGACTAGGATTGCAACCCCTGCCTTTTTTTTGTTTTCCATTTGCTTGGTATATCTTCCTCCATCCTTTTATTTTGAGCCTATGTGTGTCTCTGCAGGTGAGATGGGTTTCCTGAATACAGCACCCTGATGGGTCTTGACTCTTTATCCAATTTGCCAGTCTGTGTCTTTTAATTGGAGCATTTAGTCCATTTACATTTAAAGTTGATATTGTTATGTGCGAATTTGATCCTGTCATGATGATGTTAGCTGGTTATTTTGCTCGTTAGTTGATGCAGTTTCTTCCTAGTCTTGATGGTCTTTACATTTTGGCATGATTTTGCAGCAGCTGGTACTGGTTGTTCCTTTACATGTTTAGTGCTTCCTTCAGGAGCTCTTTTAGGGCAGGCCTGGTGGTGAGGAAATCTCTCAGCATTTGTTTGTCTGTAAAGTATTTTATTTCTCCTTCACTTATGAAGCTTAGTTTGGCTGGATATGAAATTCTGGGTTGAAAATTCTTTTCTTTAAGAATGTTGAATATTGGCCCCCACTCTCTTCTGGCTTGTAGGGTTTCTGCCGAGAGATCTGCTGTTAGTCTGATGGACTTCCCTTTGAGGGTAACCCAACCTTTCTCTCTGGCTGCCCTTAACATTTTTTCCTTCATTTCAACTTTGGTGAATCTGACAATTGTGTGTCTTGGAGTTGCTCTTCTCGAGGAGTATCTTTGTGGTGTTCTCTGTATTTCCTGAATCTGAACGTTGGCCTGCCTTGCTAGATTGGGGAAGTTCTCCTGGATAATATCCTGCAGAGTGTTTTCCAACTTGGTTCCATTCTCTCCGTCATTTTCAGGTACACCAATCAGCTGTAGATTTGGTCTTTTCACATAGTCCCATATTTCTTGGAGGCTTTGCTCATTTCTTTTTATTCTTTTTTCTCTAAACTTCCCTTCTTGCTTCATTTCATTCATTTCATCCATTTCATCTTGCATCGCTGATACCATTTCTTCAAGTTGATCACATCGGCTCCTGAGGCCTCTGCATTCTTCACGTAGTTCTTGAGCCTTGGTTTTCAGCTCCATCAGCTCCTTTAAGCACTTCTCTGTATTGGTTATTCTAGTTATACATTCTTCTAAATTTTTTTCAAAGTTTTCAACTTCTTTGCCTTTGGTTTGAATGTCCTCCAGTAGCTCAGAGTAATTTGATCGTCTGAAGCCTTCTTCTCTCAGCTCGTCAAAGTCATTCTTTGTACAGCTTTGTTCCGTTGCTGGTGAGGAACTGCGTCCCTTTGGAGGAGGAGAGGTGCTCTGCTTTTTAGAGTTTCCAGTTTTTCTGTTCTGTTTTTTCCCCATCTTTGCGGTTTTATCTACTTTTGGTCTTTGATGATGGTTATGTACAGATGGGTTTTTGGTGTGGATGTCCTTTCTGTTTGTTAGTTTTCCTTCTAACAGACAGGGCCCTCAGCTGCAGGTCTGTTGGAGTACCCTGCAGTGTGAGGTGTCAGTGTGCCCCTGCTGGGGGATGCCTCCCAGTTAGGCTGTTCGGGGGTCAGGGACCCACTTGAGGAGGCAGTCTGCCCGTTCTCAGATCTCCAGCTGCGTACTGGGAGGACCACTGCTCTCTTCAAAGCTGTCAGACAGGGACATTTAAGTCTGCAGAGGTTACTGCTGTCTTTTTGTTTGTCTGTGCCCTGCCCCCAGAGGTGGAGCCTACAGAGGCAGGCAGGCAGGCCTCCTTGGGCTGTGGTGGGCTCCACCCAGTTCGAGCTTCCCGGCTGCTTTGTTTACCTAAGCAAGCCTGGGCAATGGCAGGCGCCCCGCCCCAGCCTCGCTGCTGCCTTGCAGTTTGATCTCAGACTGCTGTGCTAGCAATCAGCGAGACTCCCTGGGCGTAGGACCCTCCGAGCCAGGTGCGGGATATAATCTCCTGGTGTGCCGTTTTTTAAGCCCGTTGGAAAAGCGCAGTACTGGGGAGGGAGTGACCCGATTTTCCAGGTGCCGTCCGTCACCCCTTTCTTTGACTAGGAAAGGAAAACTCCCTGACCCCTTGCACTTCCCGAGTGAGGCAATGCCTCACCCTGCTTTGGCTTGCACATGGTGCGTGCACCCACTGACATGCGCCCACTGGCATTTCCTAGTGAGATGAACCTGGTACCTCAGATGGAAATGCAGAAATCACCCATCTTCTGCGTCGCTCACGCTGGGAGCTGTAGACCGGAGCTGTTCCTGTTCGGCCATCTTGGCTCCTCCCCCAGGGCTGTTACTTTGAAGGATATTAGATTGCTCCCCAAATCACTGGGAGGGCTGAAGAAATTGACTAATGCTTAAGGGTAGAGGAACAATGCCCCAGATCTGCAGAAAAATATAACCACCATTTCTGCTGCCACAGAGAAGCACCAAATGCAAGACAATCATCTTTATTACAACCATTTCTGTCAAGCATCAAAGATTCAACTTTTATAATTATAGTTATTCTCAAAAGGTTGATATTGTCTTGTCACCTATGCAAGAAAAATTAAATGTCCACATCAAGCCTATTTCAACATTATTTCTAAGTCAAAGCATCCTGTGATTGATTTTGGTTAATAGAGATTTCTTTAGACTTTTTTCCCCAAAAGCAAGGCAGAATATTTGAATTCTGAATTCTAATTCGAGGAAGAAGAACTCGTAATACAAAATTTTACCAATACAGAAAGGCTAATCAAAAAATGATTGGCAGCCATGAATATGACGAATGAACTGTGTGTCAACTCTTTTTGTGGACTGACTTGTGTTTGCTTTGACTGAAAAAAAGGAATCAGTGACCCTCTAAATGTGCCTGTGGATGTTTTAATATTACCTGAAAATCTGTTTAACAATCTTATTTGAGATGTTAAATTATCAGTTTAAAGATCCATCATAGACCTCATTTTTTGTTGATTTTCTTTTTAGTTTGATGTTTTATGTTCAAGTGGGAAAGCTAAATTATTGTCCCTACTCAATTCTAGGCAATTAGTTTCAGGCAGTGATGGTTTGATCCAAGTTTCATTTCCTGGATTTATCAATTACTTATTATTTCATCTCATGAGTATATAGCTCAACTTTTGCAGCTGTATTTGAGGTTTGGCATTTAAATCTTAAAGAGCTGATAAATGGAAGCAATCTGGCAAAGTGTATGGAGTGTGATTAAGAGATTGTCTTATCGGAATGATTATCAAAGCTAAATGTACAGTACAGTTCCTAAATTGGTAGAGATTAGGAACACGAGATAAGGAGAACATGCTAAAATATATAACATCTAGGAATTTAAGGATTTATGTAGCACCGCAGAAAGGTTTAAAGCAAAAAGTGGCAGGTTGAGAATAAACATATAAATTTGGGTAGAAAATCCCAGGGGCCATGGACAGATGCTTTTGAGTTAAACATTTCCAGGAGTCTAAGCAGATTATACATGAACAGATAGAGCAAAGAACAAATAAGTACAGATTATTACTTAATGTGTCCCTATCTCCACTTAGAAGATGGTGATACTTTGAAGTATTGGGTGGCATAGGTAAGAATCCCTGGTTCTTGTATTACTAAGAGGAATGGGATGTGATAATTTGTGCATAAACAGAGGGACTCCCAAGTTTATTTCATTTATGGACTGTGATAACTATACCACAGACTCTTCAAACTTCTAAATTAATGTGCTTCTGTTAGATTAGGAGAAAATCTTCTAAACTTTTGCTTGAGTAACTGTCAGTAATTAAGATTATTAAAAGTTGTCATTGATTAACTTACAGATGTAGGTGGTCACTGTAAAAATTCACATTTATTATAAAACTTTCATTAACCCATAAAACATGTCTAATTTAGGAATTGTATTTTGAGGATTGCTTCTCTAATAACTAGGATTTAATTTCATCTCCCCCATGTTCATATATGTGTGTATGTGTACAGTTACAGAGATGATAGAATCATAGGGTGAAAGGACCATAGAAATCATCTAGTTAAAATTTATTCCCTAATTTAACAAATAATAAAAAATCAGAGGCCCATTTGTGACAGTTATACAATGAGTATGTGGCAGGACCAGGCCAAGTCCCAATTCAACTGACTTGCAATTATTTCCAATAAACTCTGCTGCCAGGATATATATATGTGTGTATATATATATATATATATATATATATATATATATATATACTTTTATATATATATACACTTTTATATATATACAGATATATACTTTTTTATATATATATATACAGATATATACTTTCATATATATAGATATATACTTTTATATATATACAGATATATATACTTATATATACACAGAAATATATACTTATATATATACACATATATAAGTATATATATTTCTATATATATACACATATATAAGTATATATATTTCTATATATATACACATATATAAGTATATATATTTCTATATATATACACATATATAAGTATATATATTTCTATATATATACACATATATAAGTATATATATTTCTATATATATACACATATATAAGTATATATATTTCTATATATATACACATATATAAGTATATATATTTCTATATATATACACATATATAAGTATATATATTTCTATATATATACACATATATAAGTATATATATTTCTATATATACACATATATAAGTATATATATTTCTATATATATACACATATATAAGTATATATATTTCTATATATATACACATATATAAGTATATATATTTCTATATATATACACATATATAAGTATATATATTTCTATATATATACACATATATAAGTATATATATTTCTATATATATACACATATATAAGTATATATATTTCTATATATATACACATATATAAGTATATATATTTCTATATATATATACACATATATAAGTATATATATTTCTATATATATATACACATATATAAGTATATATATTTCTATATATATATACACACACTTATATATATGCTTACATGTATATATTTAACTGAAAAGGTGAAGGATTCTGATAGCCCATAACATTATTATTGAATTGCAAAGATAAAGCCTAAATTTCCTGAAGTGTGATAGATTTCTCCATATTGTAAGTTAGAGTAGACATTTGACAACTGTCTTCTGAAAAATACGTGTTTGTAGCTGTAGATGTTGCCTGCCTGGCTTCTGAACATGTTTTTCATTGTCTTATAGGCTGTCAGAATCATTTCTTCAAATGAAAAAACCCTTGTCTGGTAACTACACACCAAGTTAACTACACTGAGTTAACTGCACCGAGTGTGGTTGCACCAGAGTGCTTCATATGGCTAAGAGTTTTCCCATAAATCCCACAGGGTAATGCATGACTCAAGCCTCATCATAACAACCTCCCATGTCAGCCATTTTTGGAATAGACATTACTCAAATATAATGTACTAGTTGATTATTTTCTCTTGTCCAGGCCTGAAGAATGATTTTTTTTTAATTCAAGAAGCATTATTTAGTGTATGTAGAATGATTGGTTTTCATTACTACATTTTCAGTAATCTTGTCTCATTGATTATAACATATAATTTTAAATTATGCTGATAAAATTGCTGAAAAATTGGATGTGGAATGTTGAGACAGAGCCAACACAAACCCAGTGTCTGATTCCAGACTCTAAGCCAGGTATCTTTGAGTTGAGGGAGGACTTCGAAAGTCAGTAAAGTTATCTAGGCACTATTTCACAGTGAATTTGAAAAATATTTTTCTATCAGCGTAGTGATTGTTTTGTCCATTTTCTTCAAACTGGATCCAGGTTTCACAAAATGCAATATAGCATATCACATATAATTTTAAAACACACAAATTAATTTGTAAGTATTTGCATGACAAGCTCATTCTTAGCCTCTCAATGTGAAATCCATCTATGACAGAGGAGTTCTTTTATGAACCTATGAACTTATTTATAGATTATGAATTATTTGACAGAATGATTAGGAGATTATGGTAAACTTGGGCAAAACAGACTTTAATAGTAAATGGAGAGAAGAGTAATTAGGAGAGAGATTCTCTGAAATTCTCATGTCATTATAAAAATAATATGGTCACTGGAAATTATTTGATAGATCATAATATGTTTGGTGATTAAGATGGAAACAACATCCCTAAAAATCAATTTTTAGGTTGGAGGAGCTAATGGAGAATGAGATTTAGGGTAAAAAAGACACATACAGAAATACCCCAGGGAGTCAGATAAGTATAGATTAAGGATAAGAAAATTTAGGAAAAATTATTCTTCATTTGGTGAGTACTGAACTATCAAGCAAATGCATACAGACTGGGGCAGTAGATTATACACTCTGTTTGGGAAACGTAAGATTCTGCTTATCTTTCAAGGATAGTCATCTTATAGCATCTTCCCTAGAGTCGGGGGCATTCCTGAATCACCTGAACTGTGGCTTTGTTTCCATGTTGCTACTCAGGAAGAAGTATCCTCTTCATATGCCTGTGTCTTTAACATAACCAAAAATAAGGAAACTGGCTTTGGAAATGGACAGAAAATACTGATTTGCTTACACTAAATATGTTTTGTGTCTGTACAGCACATAGGGAAATAACAACTGCATGGTTCACTTTATTATATCATTAGTAAGTCTAGTGCTTAATAAGGTATATTCTTAAAGTAGATAATTTCTTAAGATAAATTTATTCAGTTTGACTTAACAGATAATTGCTTTTGTTTAGGGTGGAGGCCTCTGTAAGGCAGTACAAAAACCAGTGGTTTTCTAGTGTTGAAATTATTGGTTAGTTTTTACTTTTTAATGTACTTTGCTTATCTATATAAAGAAGACAGTGTTATCTATTTTACACCTGTTCCAAATTTTTTTATTTTATTTTATTATTATTATACTTTAAGTTTTAGGGTACATGTGCACAATGTGCAGGTTAGTTACATATGTATACATGTGCCATGCTGGTGTGCTGCACCCATTAACTCGTCATTTAGCATTAGGTATATATCCTCATGCTATCCCTCCCCCCTCCCCCCACCCCACAACAGTCCCCAGAGTGTGATGTTCCCCTTCCTGTGTCCATGTGTTCTCATTGTTCGATTCCCACCTATGAGTGAGAATATGCGGTGTTTGGTTTTTTGTTCTTGCGATAGTTTACTGAGAATGATGATTTCCAATTTCATCCATGTCCCTACAAAGGACATGAATTCATCATTTTTTATGGCTGCATAGTATTCCATGGTGTATATGTGCCGCATTTTCTTAATCCAGTCTATCGTTGTTGGACATTTGGGTTGGTTCCAAGTCTTTGCTATTGTGAATAGTGCCACAATAAACATACGTGTGCATATGTCTTTACAGCAGCATGATTTAAAGTCCTTTGGGTATATACCCAGTAATGGGATGGCTGGGTCAAATGGTATTTCTAGTTCTAGATCCCTGAGGAATCGCCACACTGACTTCCACAATGGTTGAACTAGTTTACAATCCCACCAACAGTGTAAAAGTGTTCCTATTTCTCCACATCCTCTCCAGCACCTGTTGTTTCCTGACTTTTTACTGATTGCCATTCTAACTGGTGTGAGATGGTATCTCATTGTGGTTTTGATTTGCATTTCTCTGATGGCCAGTGATGGTGAGCATTTTTTCATGTGTTTTTTGGCTGCATAAATGTCTTCTTTTGAGAAGTGTCTGTTCGTGTCTTTTGCCCACTTTTTGATGGGGTTGTTTGTTTTTTTCTTGTAAATTCCAGGTTTTAAAGAAATGATGTATTAAGGCATTAACATATTACATAATTTACAGTAGGATCTTAATGGTAGCTGATTCCACTATTATAATATGCTGATAATAATCGTTACCATTGCTATTAACACTGATTCTTTTGACGAGATAGGTGGATAGATTAAAAAAAAAAAAAAAAAAAAGAAATTCTCAACCTTGTGAGCTCCAAGGAGCCATTTTATTACTTTTTCCTTTTGGATTCTAAGATTTAGGGTTTTGTCAATATAAATGTCTTTACAAATTTATAATCAAATTTTCATACTTAAAGTTAGTGCCATCATAACTGCTAACTAGAGATTTCAATAAGCATTAATTAACCAGGTTATCAGAGTGTGTTCACATAATCTTAACACAATGAAAGAATTTTAATGCTACATAGAGCTTCTACAGCTGCAGCATTGCTAAGAATACTGTTTTCCCTAAGCCTTTTGCATTTCGAAAAAGGTCCCCCAAACCTTTTTGGTACCTTGAAGAATCTCTAGTGGCCCAGAGAATGCATACTGAGAACTAGTAAATAAGGCGAAATGCCTTTGAGGTACTGTAAGAATTTCTGAGTGTATATAATAGTTCAGGAAACTCATCAGTATGTATTAAAACTACACAGGGAAAACTGTCAGACTTCTAGAAGCCAATAACATATCAAAGAGACAAACTATCTGCTGCTGGGGTACAGGCTGACGTGAATAAATTTCAGACTGTGGGGAAATATGGCCAGACCTAACAGTAAGAAGGGTGCCCGGCATACACAATGCATGACTGATTACGGCAGCCAATTGGTGCCCCTCCTGATAGCCAAGACAGCAGGTCCCAGGACAGCAGCATGTGTGATAAATCTGACTTCTTCTGAGACCATAAAATGCTTGCTTCCATTCTTACGCTAAAAAGAATAACTCTTTATATACATCATTACATTCAAGGGAAGATGTCGAAGATCTCTCAAATTTTTTTTTTTTTTTTTTTTTTTTAGTAAATGACATGAAGGAGTAGACATTGTTTTGTGATACCAGTATCAGAGAAAAGAAAGAGAAAATGCTCCATCAGAGAAAAGAGATGAGCTCTGCTTACAGATGTCATAAGACTAAATTTCCAACAGTGGAGGAGTAGGGTAGCTTATAGTGGGAATTGAGCAGTCCATGAGTTTGGAGTAAATCCAACTTAGTTTAAATCCTTCATTTGGCAACTTATTATCTCTCTGTACTTAGGCAAATTACCCTCTTTGAGCCTTTTCTTAGTGTAAACCTAGAAATCTAACACACAGAGAGCTAGCCATGAATACGATGACTAATACAAACTGGATGCTCAATACATGATGATGGAGATGACAGAGATTCTTTGTGTACAATCAAATTGGCAGATTGTAACCAGGCTCTTTTGCCATCCCTTGGGACAGATATCAAATAGTTGATTTTGAAAGTGTATTTTGTTGAGATACTGATCTACTTTACTCCCAGATTACCTGTTATCTTGGGCTGTAGAAAATTTTGAAAGAAGTTATCTCTGTTTAGGTGATTTATTTTTATCAGTCTGAGAGAGAGATGTAGAAAAATTTGGAAGAAGATATCTCTGTTTAGCTGATTTATTTTATCAACCTGAGAGGGAGGGAGATCTAGTTCCAGCATAGAGAGATGCAGAAATTTGGGGTAAGATAAGGGAAATACGTACTTTCAAATTCTGATCTCAGCTATATATTATCAATGCATTACTTGATTATTTTTTATTCAATCTTCAAAGTTTCAGCTACTAATAGGCCTCATTTAGGTGTTGGAATTTGGTATTTAAAATTATCTTTACTTTTGTTCCTTTCCATTAGTGCAAATAATTAGAATCTTACTGTATAACACAAATGAAAGCTCAATATTTTACACATTCTTAAAAATACTTGCAAAACTGCAGCAATGCAACTTTTCGTGTGTGATGGTTGGTATAAATTGCAAGTTATAGCAATTTATCAGAAAAACACTGCAGCAATACATTATTAGCAAATGAAATAAAAAGAACTTTAGTGTAATATAAATTGCTCTGGTATTTTTGTAAGAGATGGTTATTATTTTCTTTAAGAAAAGAAAAATAAAGGTTGGCATTGGTAAGCATGAGCTCCAATAAAAGCATCAGCATAAAAAAATGGACCTGTGATTCTCTGTACTACAAACACTGCAGATTTTACATCTGCATGAACAAAGAAAACTAGAGATTATGATGTGTTTAAGAAAAATGTGTTAAACTCCATGCATCCAAAAGATTGTCTTTAGGAATATGCTGTATAAAAGCTCAGACAATTCAATGTCTTTCAGAAGATAGACTATAAAGAGAAGTATCTAACAGGTTTTCCCATAAGATTTCTAAAAGATTTGTAGTTAAGAAAATTTAGAGAGAAGATAATAGGAAAAGAAGAAATATTAACTATTGAACGGGTACAATTTTGATGTTGTAGGCAAGTAAGAGAAGGAAAAATAGAAGTGAGTGAAAATTAGAATATATAACGATAAAGCCTGTATACAACATTTTCCAATTTATAATATAGAAAGCATTTTACATATCTTCAAGAATGCATGTTACTTTCATCAGTATACTGAAGGGGAAGGTCGTGAAGAAAGTATACGTCTGGTTAAGTAAGCTGTTACATAAAATCTAGATTTAAAAGAAAAGGCATAAAAGAGGCTTGACCAACATTTTCAAAAATAAGCAAAATAGAAAGCATACAGACTATAATTGTGTAAAATTTAGAGCAGCTAAATGGCATATCTAGGCAGCCCATATTTTTATTTTAAATTCTGGGATGTGCAGGTTTGTTACATAGGTAAACGTGTGCCATGGTGGTTAGCTGCACCTATCAACCCATCACCTAGGTATTAAGCCCAGCATGCATTAGCTATTTATCCTGATGTTCTCCCTCCCCCGACCACCCTGACAGACCCCAGTGTGTGTTGTTCTCCTCCCTGTGTCTGTGTGTTTTCATTGTTCAGCTCCCATTATAAGTGAGAGCATATGGTGTGTGGTTTTCTGTTCCTGCATTAGTGTGCTGAGGATAATGGCTTTGAGCTCCATCCATGTCCCTACAAAGGACATGATCTCATTCCTTTTTATGACTAAATAGCATTCCGTTGTGTATACAATTTCTTTATGCAGTCTATCATTGATGGACAGTTGGGTTGATTCTATGTATTTGCTACTGTGAATAGTGCTGCAGTGAACATACATGTGCGTGTATCTTTGTAATAAAATGATTAACAATCCTTTGGGTATATACCCAGTAATAGGATTGCTAGGTCAAATGGTAGTTCTGGTTCTAGATCTTTGAGGAAACGCCACACTGTCTTCCACAATGGTTGAACTAATTTACATTCCCACCAACGAGGTTCCCCGCAACCTTGCCAGCATCTGTTGTTTCTTCACTTTTTAATAATCGCCATCCTGACTGGTGTGAGATGGTATCTCATTGAGGCTTTTATTTGCACTTCTCTAATGATAAATCTGTTGAGCTTTTGTTCATATATTTTTTGGCCACATGAATGTCTTTTTGAGAAGTGTCTGTTCATGTCCCTTGCCCACTTTTTAATGGGGTTGTTTGTAAGTTACCTGTTCACTCTGATGGTAGTTGCCTTTGCTATGCAGAAGCTCTTTAGCTTGATTAGCTCCCATTTGTCAATTTTTGCTTTTGTTGCAATTGATTTTGGCAATTTCATCATAAAATCTTTGCCCATGCCTATGTCCTGAATGGTATTGCCTAGATTTTCTTGTAGGGGTTTTACATTTAAGTCTTTAATCCATGTTGAGTTGATTTTTTGTATAAAAAGATGTAAGGAAGGGGTCCAGTTTCAGTTTTCTGCATATGGCTAGCCAGTTCTCCCAGCACCATTTACTAAATAAGGAATCCTTTTCCCATTGCAGGTTTTTGTCAGGTTTGTTGACAATCAGATGGTTGTAGATATGCAGTCTCTTTCTGAGTTCTCTATTCTGTTTCATGGTCTGTGTGTGTGTTTTTGTACCAGTACCATGCTGTTTTGGTTACTATAGCCTTGTACTAGAGTTTGAAGTCCAGTAGTATGATGCCTCCAACTTTGTTTTTGCTTAGGATTGTCTTGGCTTTACAAGCTCCCTTTTGATTCTATATGCATTTTAAAATAGTTTCTTCTAATTCTGTGAATAATTTCAATGGTAGTTTCATGGGATTAGCATTGAAACCATAAATTACTTTGGGCAGTATGGCCATTTTTCATGACATTGATTCTTCCTATCCACGAGCATGGAATGTTTTTCCATTTGTGCCCTCTCCGATTTCCTTAAGCAGTGGTTTGTAGTTCTCCTTGAAGATGTTTTTCACTTCCGTTGTTAGCTGTATTCCTAGGTATTTTATTCTCCTTGTAGCAAATGTGAATGGGAGTTCATTCATGATTTGGCCCTCTACTTGCCTGTTGTTGGTGTATAGAAATGCCTGTGACTTTTGCACATTGATTTTGTATCCTGAGACTTTGCTGAAGTTGTTTATCAGCTTAAGAAGCTTTTGGGCTGAGACAGTGGGGTTTTCTAGATAATAAGATCATCTCATCTGCAAACAAAGACAAACTGACTTCCTTTCTTCCTACTTGGATACCCTTTATTCCTTTCTCTGGCCTGATTGCCCTGGCCAGAACTTCCAATAATAGGTCCAATAGGAGTGATGAGGGAGGGTATCCTTGTCTTTTGCTGGTTTACAAAGGGAATGCTTCCAGCTTTTGCCCATTCAGTATGCTATTGGCTGTGGGTTTGTCATAAATAGCTCTTATTATTTTGATACATTCCATCAACACCTAGTTTATTGGGAGTTTTTAACATGAAGAGATGTTGAATTTTATCGAAGGCCTTTTCTATTGAGATAATCATGTGGTTATTGTCTTTAGATCTGTTTATGTGATGAATTACGTTTATTGATTTGCATTTGCTGAACCATCCTTGCATCCCAGGGATGAAGCTAACTTGATCATTGTGGATAAGCTTTTTGATGGGCAGCACACGTTTTAATTGTATGACTGGCAGCAAGTACATAGAGTGATAGTCTCACTTTGAAAACAAACAATACAGTTGGGAACAAAAGGTGAAAAAGTACTTACCATGGCCACAGTGTTATCCCCGAGCCGTTTTTCCCTCACCATCTACTCAACGGAAATGAATGGTTTCTATGTAAACAGAGACTTTTCTAATTCATTTGTTTCCTCATTTTAGAAAACATGTAAAATGTTTCTCAATTTAACTTGAAAAATTGGTTATAATTAACCTCATTAACAATCTAATTAATCATATGTATCAATAATAAGATAAGCATAGCATAAAGGGTAATTTTAGGTAGGGCATTGGGTAAATGCTCTCCATATTTAAAGGGCTGCCATTAGATTTATGCAGGTTTTCCCAGTTTAGGACTAAGATAAAGTGGTGGTTATGGAAGAAGTCAATATTAACTCAATACCATGATGGACTTTCTACACTTAATGTTGTCAGTAATGGAAGAAAAAAATTTTATGAAGAGCCAAGTGTGCTAATAGGGGAAGCATTTTACCTCAAGCTGGATTACTGTCTACTGAGGAGATTTCAAATGGAATTCCTGCACTGAGAGGAAATGAAGTTGATTGATTTATTGAGTTTATTCCAATAATACTAGCTGAGACTTTTTGAGTACCATTTTCTAGCTGTTCTAAGTATAGTGATCTCATTTAATCAAAAATCTTTTAAATATGGTAATACTATTACCTGCATTTTAGAATTGTTTAATGCAATTTAATTTCTTAGCATTGCTTATGACATTGCTTAATGTCACAGACCTGTTACGTGGAAGAGCTGGGAATGTAATCCAGGTGTTGACTTGATGCACTTTATCACAGTGCCATGTGATAATACCTCAAACCTAAAATCCCCTGATTCCATTATAATTAGGGGCAGTGCATCTATTTGGGGAGAAACTCAATAACTAAGCTTTTTAGATGTGTCAATAGAAGTTGAAACAAAATTGGTTTTGAATGTACATAGAGAGTGATCACTGTTAATCATATCTGTGTTGTCAATAACCGATGCTTGTATAAATCTTTTTAAGCAGTACCATATTCCAATAGGAATGGTAACATCCTGTTGTTGTTGGAAAGAAGTAGTGGGAGAGGTAATCCAGAGGCAGGGGAAAGTTGAAGTTAATTATAGCAGGCTTTTGGGGTATATCTGATTTTTTTTACTAGAAGAGTTAGAATATTAATGAAGATATACCACATGTAAGATATAAATATATTTTGTTTCCAACTATGTTAAAAACACTTTTATCTGCATACATACAGTAGCATTGTGACAGGAGGTTATCAATCTGGAACTAAAAATTAGCTGTAAGTAATTCTCAAACAGATATACACCATGCAGTTCATTGCAAATTTACATGATATAATCACATATCAGGATATCTGTTTATCTCTAAAGACAGTAAAAGCATACCTTCATAATGGTGAAACTAAAAATGAGATTTACAGATTTAGATCATAATGACACAGAAAGCAGTCACAGAATATGTGTCAATTTATTATACTTAAAAGTGCTACTGGTATAAGACAAATCTTAACATTTTTGGTGGGGTTTTCATTTGACTAATATTCCTAGTGTTACTGATTATACTAAATAATAGCGAATTCACCAATTTATTCAATAAAATGTTGCAGCTGTTGTGTTGGATAAAGAACGATTTAGGGGTTAGGAGGCTTGGGTTCTATTTTAGATTGTTTCACTAACTGGCTTTTATGTAACTGGCTAGGATATTTATTTCTTAGTTCTTAGTTAAAGCCCTTCAATTCTAAAATTTAGTGATTGTATTTTAGTGTCCATTATGTACAAGTCAAGTTAATTGTTCTGTACATTTCTAGTTACATTTAGGGAATAAAAATATATGCTTATGTGTTAATACCAGGCAGAGTCTTGCAAATGAGTAAAAATATATTTCTGCTTTATTATTGTTTCACCAAGAGACATGCAGAAGGTAACATCAGTAAGATACCTTTCTCTCTCTCCTAGGTGTGCTCAGGTAGCTAATTACACTGAGATTGCCTGTTACTGTTCTGCAGCTATCCAGAAGTCATAGTATCTTTGACACAATCAATGGGTGTGCATTCTATTCACATAGGATGTGCACATCATTTTTTATGGAGAAGCAAGACACCTGGAAATAAATTGAATACATTAGATCAACTTGGGTGCCTAAGTGTGCCACCACCCATCCGGTGTATCCAAACAGAAAAAAAAGAGCATCTAATGACCACTGAACAGAGCAACGACAGTAATTTAAAATGTTGCTGACTTTTAAAATGTATCTAGCAACTCCATTAGACACCACATTGGCCTCTAAGGGGATGTTAATGTGACACAAACTGCATATGCAACTTTCTTCTCTGTAAAAGAACTTTCTGAATACATCCAAAGGGAAGGCATTTTCTCCATCAAATAAAACAGCCTGATTTAGTCCAAAAAAAAAAAAAAAAAAAAGGAAAGGAAAGCTTTCAGAAGCAGCCAAAAATTTCTAGAACAGTTCCTTCAAGTCACACGGAAATGGGGACGGAGAGCAGTGGAAGAGAGAGGAATCTTAACACAATATGGTGGTGGCCAGGAGCCAAGAAAACACATTTTGCCACCCCTTGTTCATGATTGCTCCCCTAAACATACCAGATGGGGAGGCTTCATCAATGTCAAGCCTGCTGTTATCATCAGAGAATTTCCTTATCAGTGGATTTGGAACTGATACCTCAGCCCCCTCTGAGTAGCAGGCAGGCAGATTTATCCAGTTCAAGTCCCACTTGCCTCAGACATTAGAAAGGAGTGCTTCAATCAGGACCAGGTGGGGAGGCCAGCAGGGGCATGAGTGGGGATGGGAGATGTCTGTTCATCTGAGATCCTGTCTCTTTTGTGAACATTTTATGAAGAACAATCCATAGAGGTAGTAGTAGTAGATTTAGCTTGAGCGCTGGGGATACATGACAGAAAGGGATGTGTTTACGTTTGGGCGCTCTAAAAAGAATATTCAGAATTATATTCTACTTAGAGTAGAATTGTGTAGCTAAATATATTTGCATGTGTAGATAAATAAGTTTTGTAAAAGAAAATTAATATTTTGCCTTTGTGCCACAAATAGATTAATTCAAGTGTGTTCGTGCCTTCATTAAATGCATATATATGTGTCAGCCCTGCTTTAGTTGCTGAGGACATGACAATGAAAAGGCAGAAGAGGTCTCTGTACTCATGGTGCAAGAGTGTTGAAGTACAAGCTACTTTGGATGGACAGCAGGGAAGGCTTAGTTGTTCAAGAGGCGTCCTAGGGAATTGAATTTCATTCTGGTTCCTGAAGGGCTTAGCCTTACAACATTCATTTGTGCTGCTGGAAAGCATTCTAGACAGCAAATTGAAGTGTCTTTAAGTGACAAAGGATGTTATGGTTTGTGAAATGGAAAAAAGACCATTATATTTAAAATGTGGAAGGAGAAGGACAGAAACTCTGTGTGAGGCCGTATGCATGTAGGTAGGGGCCAGATTAAATAATCCTTTGTGGTTAAGTTGAAGGATTTGAGATGTTCTTCCAGGAGTAACGTTAAGTAGCTGAAAGGTTTTAAATGAGAGAGAGAAAATTTGCATCTTTAAAAGAAGCTCTTTTGCTTGTACTATGAAAGGATGGATTGATCAGAGTAAGAATGTATAGTGAGAGGCCAGTCAGGAAACAATTACAACAGTCTACACTGGAGATCACAGTGGTTTGGACTAGATAGTGATAGTATGATTGGAAAGAAGTGACAGATTGTGGAGATATTTAGATGGTGAAATTGAACCACCAGAATTTGCCCTCAAGATATTTGTAATCTAATGGGACAGGCAGATGTGTGAACAATTAATTATGAAATAGTGTGATATGTACAGTGAGAATAATACATCAATATAATCATCTATAATAATCAACATGTGTGGGTTGTCAATTTTTGGAAAATCTTCTAATGTTTCTTGTCTTTGAACTGAAGAAAGTTTAAAACACAGTGGAAACCTGATGATTTAGGGTTTGATCTTTGCTGAAGAAGGAATAAGAAGACTTGCATTTATTGAGCTCCTATTACGTTACAGGCCCTGTACTTAGTGTTCTGAAAACATAATCTTGTTTAAGTTTCATATTCTTTCAAGGCAGGGCTTTCCATTTGCACTTGACAAATGATAAAACAGATGTAGGGATTAAGTCAACCATCTATGTTACAGCTACTTGGTGGCCAAACGGTTTAAAACCCAGATGTGATTTAAAGTATGGATGATTTTCCCCTACACTTCCTTGTCTCAAGTTCACATATGGAAGATTGAAAAAAGCAACAAAACTCAAGTGAGGTATTCAACAAGGTTTTCCAAAGTATGGCACAGCTTCCCTCAGCTTTAAGTAAGCTAATTTTCAATGATAGAATGACTGATTAATGTTTTTAATTTATTAAAGGCTTCACGGGGTAGCTCATACCTGTAATCCCAGTACTTAGGGAGGTTAAAGTAAGAGGATTGCTTGAGCACACAAGTTTGAACAAGTCTGGGCAGCATAGCAAGACCCTGTCTCTCCAAAAAAAAAAAATCGTGTATTGATTTTAAATATGTCAGAAAAAATGTAACTAATATATCAAATTCATGATAATGAAAGTATTGTTTACGATGAATCTGATGTATTTAAGGTAAATTATTTGAGTAAATTAAAAATAAAAAAGTAATACTAGTAGCATGCTGATAGGACAAAGATTGAGGGTAGTAGGTCGTACAGAGGACTACTGCTCATTAGGGTTAATCCACTCATATTTGCTTGTATTGTTATTTACTTTCAAAACGCTGTGAAGAACCTGTTACATATATATTTTTTAATTGTCTCCTAAAGGCATGGCCCTTAAGGGGAGAGAAAAAATTTCTCTATCACTCTTTGAGGCAAGAACCACTAAGCCACATTACGGATGGGGAACTTGGTCTTCAGTAGAGTTCCTGCTGATGCTACAAACCCTTGAATGATTTTAACATCACTCTTGCCCTTTACAAGGGTCTGTCATCAGTCACCAAACTCAGATGTTCACTGCATTTGGAAAGGAGGGACCATGATTCCTTTGGCTGGTCACAAAGGACCAGACTTTGTGGCTGCAGTCCCATAAGGAGGAGGACACCACGACTTCCCTTAGACTAGGCAATTGTCTCAGCCACTTATCTGGACCACTGACTTTTGTCAGACGCCTTGGGCCTTAGGTGATCATGAGAGTTCACTTCCAAAGTGTGTTTGGAGAACAATTTAGGATGTAGTTTATAATGTCAACAGGTGCTGACAGCTGCTTGTCCTGGAGTTATGCACTTAATTTTTTTCCTAAAACACTTGGATTTTTACATATTTTCCTATATTGGGAAGCTTCAGTATATTACTTAGTTTCTGTGTTGATTGGGTCCAGTGGTATTTTTGAGTCTGCAGAACACAGAGCCCTATGATATACTTTCTAAGACAATCTGAAATTTTTCTATTTGCATGAGACATCCTGTAATACACGTGGCTTATAAAACAGCTGAAAGAGAACACCAGGAATTAACCAATAATTGGAATAAAGTGATGAAAAATCAAGTCAAATACCACCAAAAAAATATGAAACCAACTCCTCCTATTGTGCTGTTATTAGCAAATAATAATTTAGCTCTCTGGGAAAACACCGTTAGACTTCCCAGTGATTTCAGAAACCCATTTGGTAAATTGCCACTGTCATATACTAATTTGTACCAGGGTTAGCTAAAAAAGTGAGTTGAATATATGTGTGAATTTCAGGACTTATTCAGATAATATAAGTACCCCCAAACCAGATTGGTTTTCTGTTATTTTAACAATCAGTCTTCATATTGCTCTTCTAGTCAAAGGTCTATTTATTCAGTGTGGTCTATCTTGAGAGTAGTTTTTAGAAACAGAGAAGTAAAATATGACCAAAGACAAGTAGAATGTTAACTGCAAGAATAATTTAGGTCATAATAGCAGAAAGAATTTATTGCTAAGTCAAATATTAGGTAATATCCTGAAAGACATTTATCTCAAGTGCCCAGTAGTCACCTAATTTTAACAGTCACATAAATCCCAGTCAATCCAGGTGAAGTTGTTAGATTATTCATTTCTTAGTACCTGTTCTCATTACCCTTTTCTCTCTAGTGGCTGTAAATCCTTGAAACAAGATTCATTGACCTATTCCTTCATACATTAGTTCTTTCAACAACATTTACCGAATGCTTATTTTTATTTATAATTTTTATATGTTTTCAGTGCAGTAAAACTTAAAGTATAGAAATTGTAAATATATAGCTGAGTGAATTATCATAAAATAAATATAACAGGCCATACTACCCAGCTCAGGACACAGAGAATTTTCAGCATCCCGGAACACCTTTTGTGCATACCTGTAATCACTCTCCTTTTCTGAAGGTAACCACTATCCCAGCTTGTTACCTGTTTTAGAAGTTATATACATGGATTCATTCTAGATGTATTTTTCTGTGTCTGGATTCTCAGTGTTATCTTTGGACACTTAGACAAGTTGTATGAAACAGTACATCATGGATTTTTATTGCTTTATTCCATTTTCTGAATAAACCATAAGGTATTCAACTATTCTACAATGGGTATCTCAATTTTTTGATATTAACAATAACGTTATTTGAACACTTTTGTACAATATGTTTGGTGCATGTATGTGTGAATATCTCTTGGGTTTATACCTACAAGGAGTATTGTAAAACAGATATATCTTAAGCAGATAGCTTATTTAATTTTTTTTTTTTTTTTTTTTTGAGATGGAGTCTCGCTCTGTCGCCCAGGCTGGAGTGCATTGGTGCGATCTCAGCTCACTGAGAGCTCCACCTCCCAGGTTCACTCCATTCTCCTGCCTCAGCCTCCCCAGAAGCTGGGACTACAGGCGCCCGCCACCACATCCGGCTAATTTTTTTGTATTTTTAGTAGAGACAGGGTTTCACCATGTTAACCAGGATGGTCTCAATCTCTTGACTTCGTGATCTGCCCACCTCGGCCTCCTGGGATTACAGGCGTAAGCCACCGTGCCCGCCCAGCTTATTGAATTTTTATCTATGCATACACTTTGCAATTACCACCAAGATTAAGATCACTCTTAGAAAATTCCCCCATGATCTTTCCATATGCTAAAAAAATTTTCTGCATATTTTCTAGTTGTTTACCAAAATGCTCCTTGATATAATTTCTTAAACATATTATACATAGTTATTTTAAAGTCCTTGCCTGATAATTCTATTTTATTCACTTTCTGAGTTTAAACTTGTCTGCTAATTTTTCTATCATTTATATATTGTCCTATGTCTGATTATTTTGCTTGTTTATGGAAATACATACAGAAAATTTGAGGCTATCTTCCTCCAGAGATGATTTACTTTTGCTTCAGGTAGCTCTGTTATTGATATATCATTGTAATTAAATCAGAATGAGATTATTTGTAACTGAGCTTTAGATCTTAAGAGAGTTATTTATTTTCAATTTGCCCTACTCCTGGGATGTAATTTTACCTCTTGCCAACCCAAACCTGGGGAGATTTGCCTGGCCTCTATGTCTTTGGGAGGCTTTGAATTCAAGTGTCTGTCCCTCAGCCTCAGTAAGTGGTGACAACTGATAGATTCCAGGACACTCAGTCACTCTGGTAAATCACTCCTCCAGAGGTAAATGCTTTATTAAGTGTAGTGTTTACCCCTCTGCGCATCCCTATTCTTCTGGATCCTAGACTCTGAAAACTTATCTCCTTGGTATTCTAGTACATTGTAACATTAAAAAAACTTTCACGTATGCTTTTTCTAGTTGTTCTTGGAGGGCGATTTGGTCTAAAGCAAATCAGCCTGCTTTTGCTAAAGCTCAACTCTTTGAGTGCTTTTAAAATATTTACTCTTTTCTTTTTATGCAAGCTCTGCAGAAGGTGTTGAGGACAGAGTTTAACAAGAAGCGACCTCTCCCCTCAAGCAACAATCAGTGTTCTAAGAGAGACAGAAATATAGAAAACAAAACCAACTCCAAATCTTTATACTACTGTGTGATTAGTGCTATAATAAATGTAAATTTTGGAGACGGCAGTGGCATGAAGCAGCAATAATCAACTTGTGTCAGGAAGGGCTTTGCAGACTTAGGAAGTTCTTGAGTTGGGAATTAAAAAAATAAAGATGTTTTCTTGCCAGGCAGTATGGAATAAAAGAAAGATACTGGAAGGAGTGAGTGCTTTGTAAGTCAACCAGAAAGTTATTCTTGCTTTGAGATTTAGAATGAGTAGGAATTTTTCTGTGCATCAGGAAAGGAATGTGAGTGGACCATTTCAGGCAGAGGGAAAAGATACATACACAGTCTAGGATGATTTCCTGGTCTCTCTTTTTTTCCTCCCAGGTAAATATTTTCTAATTGTGGGCATATTTACAGGGGGTTGCCACAGAACTCTCTTATCTGCTTCAGGAGGTGTTTCCAAACATTTTATTTTCTCTCCGGTCACTTATAAGCTTTAGGTTTCTAGAAACTAAAGCCAAAAAGAAATCTAAAGCCAATTTCTTCCACACCGAGTTATTTGTCATCTTTTCCAAAGGCTACATTGATAAACACAACTTGTTTGGCTTCTAAAATGATTGTCAGTTAAACAACAACAACAAACAACGATCCCAAACAAAACAAAGCAGAAAATATAAAACTTAGTCAGATTTAGTAATAGAAGCAGAGAACACAGAGCACGCAAGGACAGGCCTTTGGCCATCTGTTTCACATAAGCCAAGTTCTAAATTATGCCGTATGATTGGACTGGCTCTATACAAACATCTGGTTCAACCTTTACAATAGTCAAGTTTTCTCTTTCGGCTTGACTTATTTTTACTGAACTTGGCCTTCAGAATGGGCTCATCAGTTTGACTTGCAGACATAGCCTGTGTATATTATTTTTTTCAAAAAATGTGGCATAATTTAGGAGCTAGTTTACGAGAAACAGACTGGATAACCCAGGGCACGTTGGGACAGTACTTTTTTCTGCTTATATCTAAGGATTTTTACTTCAGCTGTTCTGGAATCTTGCTTGAGACAATAGAGGGAGGATTTCCAAGAAGTTGTTATGTCTTGCTATTACTGTAGGAGTCAGGATTGAATTAAACAGATTAGTCAAGGAAAATATACATGGTGATTCCAGGCAAAACGATTTGTTATTTTAGCAGTCTATTCATATCAGAAACCTTGCATAAACTAAGATAGAAATCTGGTTCTTGTGTGCTCTTTCCTTTACTGGCTCGATTCTGCTTTTTGGAGTCATTTTCCAAAGAACTGTTCTTAAGCATATCAACTAATGTCTAAGGGCTCTTAACAAGCCATAAACTTTGGTTATATCTTCACTGTGCTCTTTTCTACAGCTGGTCTTATGTGAAATTCATGCAAGTCATGGTTAATTATTACACAAGCCAAAATCATGTTCCCTTCATTTGCTTGAATCTGTAACCATGGACTTCTGGAGATTTTCTTTGGCAGTGGCGTCATGGTCTCTGGGAGAAGATAGGAGGGTGAAGTTAGGTTTCAGGGAAGGACAAAAATGGAGGAGTTGACAGCTTGGATTAGATGGCTGTTTTTCTGTCTTTGCAAGCTTATTCTCCCATATGATTATGTTACCTTTTGAGGCATTGCTTTCCAAGTCTAAAGAATATGTTTTCTTTCCATTTTTAGTACGATAACTCGGGGAATTACTCTACTCCTACATAATTATTAAGGAAGTAATATCGAAACCTTTTGCATGGTTGAAAATTTTCTCTCTTTTCTACAAATGAGTCCAAAAATAGTTTGTCACGACTTGTCAACAACAAAAACTCACAAATAATATTATAGCATACATCAACATATAGGGATGGAACTATGTCTTATTTATCATTTTATACCCAGTATCTGGCTTGTGGTTAAGGTGGAGTAAGTGAAGACACAACCAGTGTTCATTGAGGGCCAACTCTGTCCCATGTGCTTTAGGTAAAGTGTCTTATTTGTTACTGATAATTACCCTTGTGAAGAAGATGTTACCAACAGTTTAAACTGAGAAAATACAGTCTGGCATGTGACATACAAACTATGAGACTTGGTTTTTAGAATTAATTGAAAAGAGTTTTCATGACCTGAATGTTTTAATTGCTGAAGATCAAGTCATTAAGCATTTTGTTTAGGTAGAACTTTAGTATCTGACTCGAGAAATTGAGGTTGTCGCCAGCAAAACCAGTTTTGAGGGAGAATATCATGTTGCTCCAATGAGGTCCTTATTAACTAAGTTTGTACAGTTATTTTTATATCTTAGAGGCATGTCTTTCCTGGGATTTGGCAAATTTTGAAGGCTAAAAGCAGAATAGGAAACCTGACTTTCCAATGATATTGATTATCTCAGGAAAGCAAAAAGGGAAAAATGCCTTGATTTTTTTTTAATCTCAATATTGAATATTGACTTTAACAAGACAGTTGAAATTTTATGTGTATATGACTGAGTTTCATCAAGTTCATTTGACATTTTAGTTACTTTCGATCTTGAAGTTGTTTTGGGGTAAATAAGCATATATGTTCTACAATATCACAAGGTAATAGTTAAAATTAATGTATTTTCTCTCTATTTCTATTATTCATTTACTCTATCATAATATTTGCTTATATTTTACTTTTGGGAAGTTGGGAGTTTATTTAAGATGGGTGCTATGCTTTCATCTCAACTTTGGGTTCCTATAATTTTTGTGGCAGAATCTGTCACCATTCGTCAATGTGCTTGACTCTCTTGTCTTTTAATGTCTATTCCTAGGCATATAGGCCAAGGGTACTCTTCTGATTTTGCTCCCTTCAAATGCTCTATAAAGGAACAATCCACTGGCCTGTCTAAAGGCCAGGAAGGGGAAAAGGAACGATCAGTATTTTTTAGCTATCGAGTTGTGCCAGAAATAGGGTTGTTCAATTTAGCATATGAATTTAACCAAGTTAAATTTGAACTTCTGATAGATAAATATTATATGGGACAAACACATTAAAAAAATGTTCGTTGTTTATCCAGCAATCCTGGTCAGGCACTATTCTAGACACTTTAAAATTTTACCAATTTCAATCCTAATATCACCTCTATGGGGGAAAATACTTACCTTTCTTTTACAGACAAAGAAACTGAGTCTCAGAAAAAATATGTGAAGGTTTCTGCCAATAACCTTGCAGCTGGGATCTGGAAGCCCAGTCTATCTGATCCCAATGCCCACTCACTCTTTGATTCCCCGTGATGACTGGCTCCAAAGGTGTTGCCATTCACCTCAGAAGGATGAGCAAAATTCTAAAATAAATGTCAAAAAAATAGCAATTAGACTTCAGCTCCCCTGAATAAAACCAACTGCATTTTATTCTTTCAACTATTAATATATCTTACCACTTGGAATTCCTGCAGAAAAAAACTGGTGCATTGCAAATTCCAGATATAATAATTAATCACACCTCTTACTCCAAATTTCTTTCAGATCCTGATCCTTAAAGTCTTTGTCATATATCAGGACAAAAGTAATCTCCATAAAGAACTCTTGATCCAATATTCTCCTGTGTGTAAATGTTTTGATGGAGGATCTACACTCTTCATTTCAAGGGGAAAATGATAAAAACATCAAATGGAAGACAACCCTCATCAGAAAAGAGAAAACCAACCTAGTATCCATTCTTAGCTTCATTCATCTTTAATCCTCCTGTTTAAATGTGAGAGGTGCTCTCAATGTGGTAGGATCATGAAGGAACTAAAAAATTGGTTGTTCAAAATTAAGGTGCTTAGTAAACATATGATACCCTGTTTTTCTCCACTGTGCTACACATGTGGGACATTACTTTAAATAGTATTAAGGTCTTAGTTTGAGACAAAGTATGAGGCAGATAATCTTTGGTCATTACAGCAAATACAAGAAGCTAATTTAATCCCTAGATGCAGAATAACTATTAAGAAAACTCCACTTCGACAACACATTGGCCTCTTGCTTGACCTAGGATATTAAGCTTTTTTTCTTTCTGTCCATTTATTCCAAAATAATGGCAATTTCTCACTGAAAACATTATGCTTTGACATCTGTTTTCAACGTGCTTCTGTTTGTTCCAATGTCTCGTATATACTCTGCAGATCTGTAGTCTGGCCTGGGGTGACACCATCTACCCATTTTAAGTTCTTGCCATAGAATTAAATTCTAGCGTCTCTTTCTTTAAGTCTTGTGAGCTTTATCCAAATATTACCCCATAGTTCATTTGCCTTACATGAATCTGTCTTCTTTGTCTTTGAAGTAATTAAATTTATTTTGAAATTTGTGAGGGATGGGATAAAAGTCCTGAACATGCTCTAAAAAGAAATAGCCACTAGTCCATATCTCTTAAATCACTTTTTCCTGCTGAATAAAGATTGTTTTTACTGGAGAAGCATATGACACTTTAATTTTTGTTCTCTTTCTTGTTTTATTTATAGACATCTTTTAAAATATGTTCACTTTGGGGAGGTATTTTTAATCATTTATTTCTGCCAATGTTTGTTAAGCATCTTTCCAAGACCTAGTTTATTATGTTAAAAAACCTTATAATTGAAATTAATTTTACACTTCCAGAAAAGTTACAAAGATAATACAATAAATTCCTGAACATTCTTTACTTAGAGTCATCAACTACTCTCTCTTATCTATATATTATCTATTGATAAAATATATAAATAGGTTGGTGTGTATGTCTGTCACCTATCTATATGTGTGTATCTACCTATAGTATATATGTGTGTGTGTCTGTATCTATTATCATCATATATCTTAGATTTTTGCTTATAATAGAAAATAGTTTTTGAAAGAAATTGCTATACTTCTTATTTTCTCAGAATTCTGTTTGTTTTTGCTGTCTGCACTCTTTCATAGGTCTGTTATTATTACTGTTTTTTACTCTACCTAATGGGCTTGAGAAAATAGTTTTCTAGACTTAGTGTACGCCAGTAAACATAGTGTGTAGTTGTGCTTTGTTCTGCTTTGTGTTGGTCACATCTGCACAATGGATCGTGTTGTACAGCTTTATCTAACTTCCACCAACTGAAGCTCTCTACATTTTTAGTTGAGCTGTTTAATTCCATCATTAAGACTTCTGCCACGGATGCAAAAAGGACGTATAAAACTATAATTCTTTGTGTGCTGTGTTACTACAACTCTTCCTGTTCTGCTCCCATCAGATCACTTTACCTGGGGAGATGACACATCCCAGAATAAAATACGTCACTGTGGATCCCCTGATTTTCTTCCTCCATTGTTTTTCTGAGCATTGATGTTTCCAAATCAATAATGAAAGGTATTGCTTATGAAGGAACGCCATGCTGGCTGCCACAAAAGTAATGGTTATGTATTTTAGGGACATAGTCTAATGTACTGGTGGGTGCCCTCGTGTGAAGGTGATGAAGAGTATTTCTCTCTTCTCTCAGATCCACTGGCTTTCTCTGCTTTTGGTGGCATAGCATGGATGCTCCATTTATTATTATTATTATACTTTAAGTTTTAGGGTACATGTGCACAATGTGTAGGTTAGTTACATATGTATACATGTGCCATGCTGGTGTGCTGCACCCATTAACTCGTCATTTAGCATTAGGTATATCTCCTAATGCTATCCCTCCCCCTTCCCCCCACCCCACAACAGTCCCCAGAGTGTGATGTTCCCCTTCCTGTGTCCATGTGTTCTCATTGTTCAATTCCCATCTATGAGTGAGAACATGCGGTGTTTGGTTTTTGTCCTTGCCATAGTTTACTGAGAATGATGATTTCCAATTTCATCCATGTCCCTACAAAGGACATGAACTCATCATTTTTTATGGCTGCATAGTATTCCATGGTGTATATGTGCCACATTTTCTTAATCCAGTCTATCATTGTTGGACATTTGGGTTGGTTCCAAGTCTTTGCTATTGTGAATAGTGCCGCAATAAACATACGTGTGCATGTGTCTTTATAGCAGCATGATTTATAGTCCTTTGGGTATATACCTAGTAATGGGATGGCTGGGTCAAATGGTATTTCTAGTTCTAGATCCCTGAGGAATCTCCACACAGACTTCCACAATGGTTGAACTAGTTTACAGTCCCACCAACAGTGTAAAAGTGTTCCTATTTCTCCACATCCTCTCCAGCACCTGTTGTTTCCTGACTTTTTACTGATTGCCATTCTAACTGGTGTGAGATGGTATCTCATTGTGGTTTTGATTTGCATTTCTGTGATGGCCAGTGATGATGAGCATTTTTTCATGTGTCTTTTGGCTGCATAAATGTCTTCTTTTGAGAAGTGTCTGTTCATGTCCTTTGCCCACTTTTTGATGGGGTTGTTTTTTTCTTGTAAATTTGTTTGAGTTCATTGTAGATTCTGGATATTAGCCCTTTGTCAGATGAGTAGGTTGTGAAAATTTTCTCCCATTTTGTAGGTTGCCTGTTCACTCTGATGGTAGTTTCTTTTGCTGTGCAGAAGCTCTTTAGTTTAATTAGATCCCATTTGTCAATTTTGTCTTTTGTTGCCATTGCTTTTGGTGTTTTAGACATGAAGTCCTTGGCCATGCCTATGTCCTGAATGGTAATGCCTAGGTTTTCTTCTAGGGTTTTTATGGTTTTAGTTCTAACATGTAAGTCTTTAATCCATCTTGAATTAATTTTTGTATAAGGTGTAAGGAAGGGATCCAGTTTCAGCTTTCTCCATATGGCTAGCCAGTTTTCCCAGCACCATTTATTAAATAGGGAATCCTTTCCCCATTGCTTGTTTTTCTCAGGTTCGTCAAAGATCAGATAGTTGTAGATATGTGGTGTTATTTCTGAGGGCTCTGTTCTGTTCCATTGATCTATATCTCTGTTTTGGTACCAGTACCATGCTGTTTTGGTTACTGTAGCCTTGTAGTATAGTTTGAAGTCAGGTAGCATGATGCCTCCAGCTTTGTTCTTTTGGCTTAGGATTGACTTGGTGATGCAGGCTCTTTTTTGGTTCCATATGAACTTTAAAGTAGTTTTTTCCAATTCTGTGAAGAAAGTCATTGGTAGCTTGATGGGGATGGCATTGAATCTGTAAATTACCTTGGGCATTATGGCCATTTTCACAATATTGATTCTTCCTACCCATGAGCATGGAATGTTCTTCCATTTGTTTGTATCCTCTTTTATTTCATTGAGCAGTGGTTTGTAGTTCTCCTTGAAGAGGTCCTTCACGTCCCTTGTAAGTTGGATTCCTAGGTATTTTATTGTCTTTGAAGCAATTGTGAATGGGAGTTCACTCATGATTTGGCTCTCTGTTTGTCTGTTGTTGGTGTATAAGAATGCTTGTGATTTTTGTACATTGATTTTGTATCCTGAGACTTTGCTGAAGTTGCTTATCAGCTTAAGGAGATTTTGGGCTGAGACAATGGGGTTTTTTAGATATACAATCATGTCATCTGCAAACAGGGACAATTTGACTCCCTCTTTTCCTAATTGAATACCCTTTATTTCCTTCTTCTGCCTGATTGCCCTGGCCAGAACTTCCAACACTATGTTGAATAGGAGTGGTGAGAGAGGGCATTCTTGTCTTGTGCCTTTTTTCAAAGGGAATGCTTCCAGCTTTTGCCCATTCAGTATGATATTGGCTGTGGGTTTGTCATAGATAGCTCTTATTATTTTGAAATATGTCCCATCAATACCTAATTTATTGAGAGTTTTTAGCATGAGGGGTTGTTGAATTTTGTCAAAGGCCTTTTCTGCCTCTATTGAGATAATCATGTGGTTTTTGTCTTTGGTTCTGTTTATATGCTGGATTACATTTATTGATTTGCATATGTTGAACCAGCCTTGCATCCCAGGGATGAAGCCCACTTGATCATGGTGGATAAGCTTTTTGATGTGCTGCTGGATTCGATTTGCTAGTGTTTTATTGAGGATTTTTGCATCAATGTTCATCAAAGATATTGGTCTAAAATTCTCTTTTTTGGTTGTGTCTCTGCCTGGCTTTGATATCAGGATGATGCTGGCCTCATAAAATGAGTTATGGAGGATTCCCTCTTTTTCTATTGATTGGAATAGTTTCAGAAGGAATGGTACCAGTTCCTCCTTGTACCTCTGGAGAATTCGGCTGTGAATCCATCTGGTCCTGGACTCTTTTTGGTTGGTAAGCTATTGATTATTGCCACAATTTCAGCTCCTGTTATTGGTCTATTCAGAGATTCCACTTTTTCCTGGTTTAGTCTTGGGAGAGTGTATGTGTCGAGGAATTTATCCATTTCTTCTAGATTTTCTAGTTTATTTGCGTAGAGGTGTTTGTAGTATTCTCTGATGGTAGTTTGTATTTCTGTGGGATCGGTGGTGATATCCCCTTTATCATTTTTTATTGCATCTATTTGATTCTTCTCTCTTTTTTTCTTTATTAGTCTTGCTAGTGGTCTATCAATTTTGTTGATCCTTTTAAAAAACCAGCTCCTGGATTCATTAATTTTTTGAAGGGTTTTTTGTGTCTCTATTTCCTTCAGTTGTACTCTGACTTTAGTTATTTCTTGCCTTCTGCTAGCTTTTGAATGTGTTTGCTCTTGCTTTTCTAGTTCTTTTAATTGTGATGTTAGGGTGTCAATTTTGGATCTTTCCTGCTTTCTCTTGTGGGCATTTAGTGCTATAAATTTCCCTCTACACACTGCTTTGAATGCGTCCCAGAGATTCTGGTATGTTGTGTCTTTGTTCTCGTTGGTTTCAAAGAACATCTTTATTTCTGCCTTCATTTTGTTATGTACCCAGTAGTCATTCAGGAGCAGGTTGTTCAGTTTCCATGTAGTTCAGTGGTTTCGAGTGAGTTTCTTAATCCTGAGTTCTAGTTTGATTGCACTGTGGTCTGAGAGACAGTTTGTTATAATTTCTGTTCTTTTACATTTATTGCCCTCTCAATTTAGTTTTTCTATCTTTGAAACCCAAAATTCTGTATATAATTGACCCTCAGTTTACTTGACAACATGCAAAAGGAAAGAGAGCAGCTATTTCTGGGTTTGAACTATTTATGGTTCAGAACATTTTATATACTTTTAATTATTGACCATGTGATACTTATTATTCTAATAGTCATATTCAAGACATAATTCATTTTTTCTCAATCTAATCTAAAACTCATTTAGAACATGTAAGGTACATGACAGTAGACATTTAATAAATGATAGGTAGTATTCATTCTGTCATTTATTCATTTTGAAGGATTTAGGAGCTTAGAGCTTAAGAATATCAACTTTGGTGTTTAAATATAAGGTCAGATTCAAATTCTGGGTCTAATTTTGTTAGTTTTGTGACTATTGACAGGATTTTAAATTTTCTAAGACCCTATTGGCAATCTCTAAGTTAGGAGTATCATCTATTTCAAAAGCAGTTCAGAGCATTAAAATGATATTAAAAATATAAATTTTATGGCAATGTATATGGTCCATAGTAAGTGCTTCATATCCAAAGTTATTGTTTTTATATTATATAATTTTTATTCCTAGAAAAAACCACTTTGTGTTTATGCAGCAGAGTTAGATGGCCGTGTTTACTAATAACTATCTCAGTTGTCAGGTAAAGTCTCTATAACATGCAAACTTAGCCTATGAAGAGACACTTTTATAGGGGATGACCCTCTTTTTTTTACAGTAAGTTACTTTTGCAGTTCAGTGTATTGATCCATGTAATGTGTTATATATTCTAAACCTTGGTTACAGGTACTAGTAACGTAGAATGCTGGCTGTAGTTATTCTGGTTCGTTCTATTCTGATGACCACCCAGCCTTGATTGTCCCAGACTCTAGGGTTAATTCCAATATTTTATAGCAACAATTTTAACAACTTTATTAACCTCCACAGTTGGAGTCAACATAAAGGTACCCTGTATATCTACTGCAGTTTCAACTTGGGTTCCATTTTCACTCTGCTCCAGGTCATATAACTGGATTGTTACCTTTCAAACCCTGCCTCTGTGCTCCCCTTGGTAATGCCAGGTGAACTTCCAAAAGGAAGACAGTGCTTATGGTGTATGTGCTGGCACTTGTTTCATCTGCTCTTACATTCTTTAGCATCGGTGCCTCTATTTCTACGTGCCTGCTGTGTTGGCAACTATGTGGCTCTGTATGAGATTTCCTGATGCTCACTGCATTGCGTAGTCTCCTGAACAAATCCTTCTGGCAGAGTCGAATACCTCTCGACATCTGCAGCTGAGGATATCTCCCTACCTCCTGCAGCTTTCCAATGGGCCAGGTCAGTCTAAGATACTGACTTTTCTCAGACTGCCTCATGCTGTGACACTAACTGGGTCATACTTAGCCAACTTCCAAGCTATGACTAATTCATTTTTAGCATTGAGACAATGGAAAGTTGTTTTAAGGCTATTGTAAATTATACTGCAGAGAATGTACTTAATTCAATTGGTTTATTTGAGACAAGTAGAAGATTTATTTTACTTGAATAGTGTTCCAAAAGAAATTATATTTTTTTCAAGGGAAATAAGAATATCAGTTTTTTGTTTTTGTTTTGTTCATGTTCACAGTGGAAAGCCAGTTTAAGTTCTATAATACAAATAAATAAAAAATGTGTTTAGTGGCTTGTCATCTTGAACAATGACCTAGCAAATGTAAAATTAAAGTTTAATGCATTTTTGAAATATGAGTAAAGGATAACCATACAAAAAGTTACATTATGAGCCTAGAAAGCATTAACCATTTTTATAAGAATATTAATGATTTAACATTAAGTACAGGTAAAATGAAAAAGCATTGCAAATGCTTTGAAGCAAGTATCTTGAAAAACAAGTTAACCATTTGCAAGTAAATAGTCAAATAGGGTCTTGTGGTTTTATTTAAAAATATCCATGTTTAAAGGCAGGTAGCTTGTACAGGTTATTTGAAAAGATGAAAGAATTTGGTAAAAGTAAATACCTTTATGTTTGTGGCAATAAATAACATTTGTTTTAAAAGCCTGAAGGTCTTCGTATTCCTTTTTCTCCCTCCAATCTTTATCCTAATGAGAAAGGAATGTGGCTGTTGCATGTGTTTATTTTCCTAGGCAGAACATGTAGCAAACCAGAAGGACACTCAAGTACTTCACAAATAAATATGGTGTTCATCCCTGTTACTTGAAATAAATCCATGTCATTTGTTTATGATCACTCAGATTTCTCTTCTTGCTGGGGCTCGTCAAGGGGATCAGCATATTGTGCAGGTTTTTTGCAGACCTTGACTAAGTAAGAGCTTTTGGATAGCCACCGCATAGACCCAGTAATCACATTGTAAGAGGAATTCTAAATCATAGACTCTCAGAATGAAATAAATATTGTTCCCAAAATTTGCAACTGCTTAATAAAGTCCTGTTTTCTGTGATACCAAGTGGAATCTTAAATTTCAAAGGTAAGCTCTTGAAAAAATTCTAAACTTACTATATTGCTTCCTTTAATCAGAATAGACACATATATTAACTAGATTTTTCAATTTTAGCTTTTAAAGAAAATGACTCATTTTCTGTAGGTATGAAGTTATTGATATGTCCTCCTTTTAAAAAGTTGTATCATATTTTCAGGGATTTTTCAAGCCTTGATGATATTTTTCTTGGACCAAACAGTAGCTATTAGTAGCAACCATTTCCAGCCAGATTGGAGTAACTGGTATCATTCAGACTTGTCTTCCTGTCATAAACAACTAAAAAATTGAGTAAAATATATGAGCCAGCTGTTGTCAGATGCTGGCCGATAGGTAGTTCCATTGGAGAAGGTTGAGGTGTGGTGGAATATTAAAGAGGTGGAAGTTATACAGAGAAAATGTTTCAGAATACCAAGCTGCACAACTTTAGGCTGAAACTTCACAAAATGTGCAAAAGTACAACTACTAGAAAGGTATAAGTTAAAACATTACTAAGACTTACATAAGGGCAAGAAGGTGTTTGAGTTCCAACCAGCCATAGTAGAGAATCCACTGAACACTTGGGCTTTCAGTAGAGATAACAAAGGGTCACATCTTAGTCTTAGGGCTAAACTATACCTAGATTAGGGGTTACTCTTTATTCTAACAGATGTTTCAAACAAGCCAAAACAAATCATGAAAACAAGCTTTAAAAACTAACCAAATAAAGTACAACATTCTTTAAAAGGAGGAAACAAAGTTGGAACACTGAACAGCACAATGTTCACAATTTCCAGCCTCCAAGAAAAATTCATATACATGCAAAGAAACAGGAAAAGGTGCCCACTATCCAGGAGAAATATCAGCCAGTAGAAACAGACCTGGAAACGACAGAATATGAAGTTAACATTAAAACAGCTATGATAATTAAGTATAAATATTTAAAGTAAAATGTAAACAAAACAAGCAGAGAAAGTAGAATGTGAGAATCACCCAAATGGAATTTCTGGGGATGAAAAATGAAATGTTTTAAATAAAAAATTGATGGAATGGTCTTATGAGGTGATTAGACACTGCAAGTAAAACATCAGTGAATTCAAATACATTGTAATAGGAAATACACAAATTGCAGCACAGAACAGATCAGACAGGTTCTGGCAAGGATAGGGAGCACATGGAACTCTCATACTTTGCTGAAAGGATCAAAGAATGGTGCAATCACTCTAAAAAATTGACATTTTCTCTTTTTTGAGATGTAATCTTGCTCTGTTGCCCAGGCTGGAGTGCAGTGGCGCGATCTCGGCCAACTGCAACCTCTGCCTCCCGGGTTCAAGCGATTCTCTTACATCAGCCTCCTGAGTAGCTGGGATTACAGGCGCCTGCCACCACGCCTGGCTAATTTTTGTATTCTTAGTTAGAGATGGGGTTTCAACATGTTGGCCAGTCTGGTCTCAAACTCCTTACCTTAGGTGATCCACACACCTCGGCCTCCCAAAGTGCTGGGATTACAGGGGTAAGCCACTGAGCCCAGCCTACATTTTTCTTATAAGGTTAAACATACACATGCCGTGTGACCCATCAGTCCCATTTCTGGATATCTGTCCTATGCATATGAAAAACTATGCTCACACTAAAAAATTCTACATGCAAATGTTCATAGCATCTATCTTTACAATTGCCCAAAACTAAAAAAATATTTAAATGCCCCTCAACTAGTGATTGGATAAACAAACTGCTGCACATCGCTACAATAAACTATTCCTGAACAATGTAAAGAAGCTATTGATGCATCCAACAACTTGGTTGAATTTCAAAGGCATTATTTTATGTGGAAGAAGTTCACATTATGATAAACTCAAAAAATTATGTGCACTAATATTCAATTTATATGACTTTCTCAAAATGATATTAATATAGTGATGGGGAGTAGAACAGTGGTTTTCAGGAAATAGGGTTCTCCAAAGAAACAGAACCAATAGGATGAACATATACACGGAAAGAGATTTACAATAAGGAATTAAAAGTAGCCCATGATTATGGAAGCTTAAAAGTCCCAAGATCTTCAGGGTTTGGCAAGCTAGAGACCCAGGAGAGCCAATGATGTAGTTCCAGTTTGACTCCCAAGGCCTGAGGAGAGCCAGTGATACAGTTCTGATTTGAAGGCAGGCTGATGTGAGATTCAGGAAGAGCCAGTATTTCAGTTCAGTTTTGAAGCCAGAAAAAAATATGATGATCCAGTTCAAAGTTGGTTAGGCAGGAGGAAATTCTCTCTTAGGAGAAGATAAGCCTTTTCATTCTGTTCAGGCCTGCTACTGATTGGATAAGACCCACCCACACCAGGAGAGCAACGTGCTTTAGGCAGTCTGCTGGTTCAAATATGAATCTCATCCAGAATTAGGCTCACAGACACACCTAGAGTGATATTTGACCAAATGTCGGAGTACCCAGTGAAGTCAAGTTGACACAAGTTGACACTGTCACAGGGTATATATGCAAATGGGTAGCAAAAGGAATTTTTATTTGGAATTTCTCTGTATTCCAGTTAAGGTGGTAGTTACACAACTATACACGTGTTAAAATCCATACAACTGTGCACTTAAAATGAAGTCAATTCTATATAGTAATTCTAAAAGTAAAAACATGACTACTTAAAAATAATATATACTATGATTTTTATAGTATATGTAAAAGTAAAATGTATTGCAGTAACAGCATAGAGTCTGGAAGTGGGAAAATTAAGTGTGCTGTTGTAGAATTTTACATCATACATGAGATGACATATTTGAAGGTGTACTGTAATGAGTTACGAATGCTACTGTAAATTTCAGAGTAGCCAGCAAAAATAAGAATATAGAGATGTATACTAATATGGCCAAAATTTGATTCAAGTACTCAATTAAAACAAATGAATGTAAGCAGTTTGGGCAGGGGAAAGAAACAAAAAACAGATGGAACAGATTTTTAAATAGCAATATGCTGGACCTTATCAATAATTACACTGAAGGTAAATGAACTAAATCCTCCAGTTAAAAGGCAGAATAAATTGTCAGACTGGATAAAAAAACAAAAACAAAATACACCTCTGCTTCCTATAAGAAATGCATTTTAAACATAAGCATGCCGATAATTTAAAAGCAAGAGGATGGGAAATTATATAATCTCCACCTACTAATCATGACAAAGTTGGTCTGGTACATAAATCATACCACAGGATAAAAATATTACCAAGGATAAAGTTTAATGTATAAAAATGATGAAAAGGACCATTCATCAAGAAAACATACTAATCCTAAGCAGATATGCACCTGTAAGAGAACTACTAAATGTGTGAAACAAGTGCTGAGAGAACTGAAAGGAAAAATAAATGAAACCACAGTTGTATATGGAGATTTCAACATGCCAGCTCAGTAATTGAAGTTCTGAGTCAACAGAAAACTCAATAAGAGGATAGAAAACTTTAAACAACACTACCAACGTGACCTAATTGATATTTACAGAACAGTACAAAAATAAGAAAGTACGTTCTTTTCAGGTGACATGGAACATTAAGAAAAACTAGACTCTGTTCAAAGAAATAAAACAAAATTCAATACATTTACAAGAACTTATATAGAATATGTAATTTGTCCACAAGAAAATTAAATTAGAAATAAAAACCAGGAAGCTATCTTAGATATTAAAAGAAAGTCATGGGTTGAAGAGGAAATCACAAGACAAATTAAGAAGTACTTTGAATTGAATGGAATTAAGTCACAACAAAACAAAATAATTGCAATAATGTTAAATCAGTGTTTTGAAGGAAATTTATGGCATGAGTATACACATTGCCAAATCTTATTGAACTGTGCACTTAAATGGATTTTATTATATGTAACATCTTCTTTAAGAAATGTAGCTATTGTATAATTCCACCAACTTGTGGGCTTGATAATATTTTCCCGAACATTGCTTTTTGAAGGACTGTTTATATGATTTTTAATATTATGCATTAGGGAATAATAGCGTTAGTTGAGTGCCTACTATAGACACTGTGCCAGTTGTCAAGGATGCCAGTATAATTATGATGGTTGTCTGTTGTCTTACTGCTTAACTTATTACCTTGTAGGGCTAGAGCTGTGGTTGGACTTAAATGTCACATAGTACCAAAGCCATGTATTGCTCAAGAGCAATGTCATTAAGAAATGTGCAGAAAATGATAGGCAAGCACTTGCTATCACAACAATCAAAAAGGTATGCAAATACATGTTCACCTGGGCCTTTTCCAATTTATATTCATTCTAAGTTTCTCTGGGAGTCCGAGAATAACCACATAACCTTCGTTTGGTTATCTCATGCAGAAAACTTGAATCCTACTCAGTGATTTTGAAATGACCTTTGTCTTCAAGCAAATTTTGAACTCACAGATCCTCTGCCACAATAAGTCAATTTTAAATCTGGCCTTGTGTGCCATAGCTGTAATGATCAACTCTGATAGCATTTCTCCAAGGATAACCAAGGATGACAGAGCCAATATTAGCAAAATAGAAATTTTGGAATAAGAGGAATAAGCTAGATTATTATAACATTTCTTTCTACTATAAATCAATTAAAAAGCAAGAACCAGATATTTAAGTTTATTCTTGGTCAACATCGGAGACTAGTTAGAAATATCTTGACCTGTATTTCTCGGTGCTGCTATTGATCAACCTAAGTTTTTATTCTTAGTCAATTAAATAACTATTGTTATATTTAAATACTTATCTACGGCCACAGGTTTTTTTTTTTCATGCAGTGGGAGATTTCTAAATATATTAATTAAATTTTATCAGATATACAGTTTTTAGTTAATGAAATGAAGATAAATTAAGATGAGAGTTGGAGATAAAATATGTAAATTTAGTGAGCTGATTGTTTTTATATCAATCAAAAATATCACAGACATGTTAACATCTAAATAAGAGAGATGAAAAGCATTTATTTTAAAATTAACATTGATGTTTTCAAAGAAACATTTGAGAGCTTATCTGTGATTAAAATGTTCTTCAGTAACGACTTGCTTTGGTAGGAAAAAAGTAGGGAGAGATGAAAGAAAATGAGTTCAAAAGAAATTATGCAAATCATCCACATACCTATTTAAGACATTTCTAGGTTTAGGAAATTTGAAAGGGAAAAAATATAGAGACTGTGTTGAGTGAAACTGCTACATACCACACCCATCTTGGTCTGTTTTTCTTCACTTTCTATAATCCATGCTCAATTTTAGAAAGTCTGTAAAAACAAACCAGTATAAAAGAAAAAAGAAAACAAATGTTAACCACACTAACATATCAGCATGATTATATTTTTGTATTTCAATACATGAATATGTATTACTAGTATTACAAATGTACTGTGACAAGAATATGGATATTGTATCATGTGAGTAAACTCTAAATATTCCCGTGTTTTTAATAACATAGATTGTTGTAATATGTTTCTGAGATAAAACTATAACTGACATCTTTGTACATAATTCTGTGTATTTCAACCTATTTCTTTAGAAGCATCTCCTAGTGGTAGTTATTTGGTAAAAAAGGAGTCCATTTTTTAAAGGCTGCTGAATTTACTTCCATTTCTTTTCAGAAATATTTTAACAATTTATAATCTCATCAGTAATGTATAAACATCTCCTTATTAATCGGCATTAATATTTTTCATATCTTGAAACTTATGTTATTTTTATCTAGTTTAACTGTGAAGATAACATTTTTTGTGTGTCTTGTCATTTGTAGTTCTTACTTTATAAATGACTTCAGTGCTGTTGAAAAAACATAAAAAATAAAACCACATATTTAATTTTAAAATTTCCAGTTGTCACATTAAAAAGAATATAAAGAAATGCAGGAAATTAGTTTTAGTGATGTAGTCTATGTAACACAATACTAATTTCAACATCTAATCAACATAAAAATTAGAAATTTAAATTTTTATATTAAATCTTTGAAATATATTGTACATTTGACAGTTCCAACATTATCTCAATTAGGACTAGTCACATTTGAAGTGCTCAACAATCCCATATGGGTGGTGGACACCTTCTTGGACACAGCAGCTCTAAAAAGGTGATCTTCTATTCCTCTTAGAGTTCCCATCTGAGTGTAATTCTGAAACAACAAAATGGATTTAGAAATGTCAAGAGGAACAGGAAAATAGAGTAAATTTTGCTGGATGTGAATGCAGGATTTCCTTACCTGATTTGTGCCTCCATTTTCCAAATACAAGTAAGAGTAGATTCCTCTGTCAGTAGGAGAGGAACAGAAAGGGGAGAGCTACTGGACACAGGAAGCTGGAATCAATGCCACTGGAAGTGAAGCTTGAGCTCAGCCATGGTGCGCTAAGACACCTCCAAACAAAGAGCCAGCTCTTCAGTATCATTAGTATACAGAGCAATTCAACTCTCCCAAGTCTTATTTTTAGTCAGTTCAATAACTATTATATTTAAATACTTTTCTATAGCCACAGGTTTTTTTTTTTTCCCTGCAGTGGGAGATTTCTAAATATGCTAATTAAATTTTATCAGAGATAGTTTTTAGTAAATAAAATGAATGTAAATATGATCTTGCGCTCTCAAATTATTGTAAACTGGGAAATGAGAAAGCACGTTAATGTTATCTCTTTAATATAACCCATTCTCTAACAAAACTAGTTGGAATTATATGTAGAAATAACATTCAGTTGTTTTGAATCACATCTATGATTAAGGATTCTGAATTTTTCCCATCTACTTTGTAATATTTCACTAAAACTTATTGTGCTCTTTATATTTTAAAAAACAGTCATTTTTGTTTAATGCAAACATGCATGTACAATACATTTGAAGTCTCTTTTTCTTGCTGTTTCTGTGTATATATATATATATATATATACACACACACACTAAAATCTTTATATATATTAATATATTTATGTATTGGTTTATGTATAAATACAAATATATATTTCTATCTTTATGTAAATATGTATATGTGTGTGAATACATATACACACACAACATCCTTCTTAGCCAGTCATGTAACAGTTATGATGCTTATAATTTAAATATTAAAATAAATTACTGAAATTAAGCATTGTGTAATTTACCTACATGAGAGATAATACATTTTCTCAGCGTGGACTAAATTTTTTCTTTGAGAAAATTATTGCTCCCTGGAAGAGTTTGAGAGACTTGCTGACTGAATTGAAGAGACATCCCTGAAGACAGCAACTTGAGCAGTTCAAGGTGGCTTAAGATATTCGATGTGCTGGCAGAGACATGGGCGTAAAAAAGAGACAGCCTGTGTCTGTCTGAGGCTGAGGTGGGAGGATCACGAGGTCAGGAGTTCAAGACCAGCCTGACCAACATGGTGAAACCCTGTCTCTACTAAAAATACAAAATTCGCCTGGTGTGGTGGCGTGCGCCTGTAATCCCAGCTACTCAGGAGGCTGAGGCAAGAGAATCGCTTGAACCCAGGAGGCAGAAGTTGCAGTGAGCCAAGATCACGCCATTGCACTCCAGCCTGGGTGACAGAGTGAGACTCCATCTGAAAATAAATAAATAAATAGAGAGCCTAGACATAGCTGCTGATGCCTGAATCTTCAGATTTTTTTAAAGATGTCTGTCCTTCCCTCTGCCCCTGCTTGGATAATTATAATTTCAGCATGTGATCAATATAAAAATTATTAATGAGAAATTTAATAATGACCATCGGAAACAGTTCATTGAGTGTAGAACATGGCACTTACCACTTTTCCTTGCTCTGAATATGAGAGATCCCTGCAGTCTCAGGAATGTCCCTTTAGAGGCTCTGCCTGGGCTGGAGTTCTCCCATGTATTGATTTTCCTCTCAGGCACAAAGTCTAACCCTATACCCCAGTTTCTTTCCTTGGCTCTGGTCAGTGGCTGTCATGAGCTCCTGAACTTGAATCTCCCCCTGTGCATAAAGACAGCTTCATTCCCTTTTGGACTTGGGCTCTTCAATTCACAGAGGCTGACATCGACAACTTGGTTTCCTGAGTGGGGCTTCCTTTCCTTTGCCTTTTTTCTTGGTATGAAGGCACTGAAAAAGCTCCTTCATCCATTTTCCATGTGACTTTCTTGAGTAACTTGTCATTTCTGAGGTAGAACTGGAAAATCTTGCTCATAAGTTACCTGCTAATCCCCTGGCTTGGGCCACGTGGTTCTTTAGTCAGGGGAAATTTGCAACCCTACATTACCACCTCCTCCATGCTTTCCTGCTTTGAGTCCTCCAGGTCTCTTTTTTACTTAAACTGGGGATAAATTCTTGTCTTCACTTTTTCCTGAGGGCTGGAGTTTAGGGATCTGGAGCTCCAGCTGCCCCAGACTGCTTACATGGACACTGTGTAGACTTAACAGCACCAGGGAAGCTGGCATGTCTTCCCTAGGCATGCCCTGGGATGGCACTGTTAAGTCCTTGGAAGTTAAGTTGCCTAAGGCAAGGGGCTACTCAGTGGGACAAAGCTGAGGCTGGTTCTAAGTCTGGATCTTCAATCTGACTCACCAGAAAGCTGCCTTTTATGGTATGAATATGCTGTTTCTTTTCTCTGGTGGAGGGTGTTCTTTGGTTACTATGTAGCTGTGCAGATCCAAATTGGCTTGTGGGAGTTTTCAGTTTACTGGATCCCAGTGTATCTCCTGATGGTGATTGAGGAGTGAAGATTTCTTAGTTGGTTTATTTCACTGGACTCTGCTCCTTGAAGAAATCCCTAAATTCATATGCAGCATTCTTTTTTGTCCGTGTATTGGCAATTCCGTGGCTGGCATCGCTTGCGGCTATACTCCCACTTTTATCCCTTGGAAAATTTTCTGCCATTGCTTGACTTGTCATCTCTGGACTTCATCTATTGACCATCAGTACAGTTCCCCTTACCAGGAATTTCCATAATGCCAGGTGCAAAGGACTGAAAGTTGGTTTTATATCCTTCCTAAATTGAGTGGCCTCTTGGAGTTCAAGATCGATGTGAAATGATGACTGTCTTGATACCATCTGGACTAGATTACCTATAAGTGAGAGATCAGAAAGAGAACTATCCAGGATAAGGACAAAATTTGGTAGTGGTGCTGGAGAGATCGTCTAGTATCCTTGACTTGCCTAAGTGAGACAAGGGTGCTCAGCTTCTTGGAATCAGTCACAGAACATGGGTAACTGTGGAAGAAAAGGCAAGCTGGGGAAGGCCCCAGAAAGAGCCATTCTCAACTTAAAGGTACAAATAGGTTACATAATCTTGGGAGATAGGATCCATGCCTTCCTCATTTGACCTCATAATATGGACTTCCAGCACTTGTCAATTACTCAGATTAAGGAAGGAAACTTCTAAGAGATATTCAGGAGATATTCCCAACCCATCAAAAGTGTCAAATTCTTGTATTCAAGTGGGTCTAGAGCATTCCAGAGAGTGACGATGTATAAATGGCAGCAATCCATGAACAACATATACACAGACAAATCCTATCCTGATTGATCTGCCCCAATGTACTTTCTAAGAATAATTTCCATTTTTTTTCTAGTTGCTTCTGGTCTTGGTATTTCCTTGAGCCCTTTGGTAAGAAATTCCTCGAGCTGCTCAGCAAGTCTTCACTCTTTGTCTCTTTCTCACACAGACCACAGACCCTTCATTGGCTGGATTGATGAAGACATCTTTTGGTCCCCTGTGTAGGCTGTGTTCAGACACTTCCCTAGAACATTTCCTAACTGAAACTTTGCTGGGTCTTTTAAATGGAAGCTTGTTGGATGTCTCCACATAACCTTCCTTAGATCCTTGCAGCATTGGCCTTTCAAGACAGAGGGCCATGGGAGTCTATGTGTGTCCTTTGGCTGAGCTCATTGCTAACGGGAGTATGTCCTTGGGAGGCCATGTTGTACTAGAGAATGTTGGAAGCTGGAAGAGAAAAGGTTCCTTGAGATCTTTGGAACATGGGGAACCTCACAAGCTTCCTAGCTGCTTTTACAAGGGTGATTCCAGTTGGTGAACTGTAGTCAAGATTAGAAATCATTTATTATTCTAGGTTCTAGAGGAAGATAATCTACAGGCCAAAATTTAGGTAAGAGAAGAAGATAGTAGGAGAGGTAAAGTGAATTGAAGTTGAGGCTGGAAGTAAATCTGGATTTAAGGTGGGACCTGGGAACAGGTAGAGCAAAATACAGTGAATACAGCACCTCATGGAAATGGTAAATTAAAATGAACTTTGGAAAACCTTAGGGTTGAAGAGACCATTAGGTTTCAATGGTCACCTTTAGAGGCATCTGCTTCTGCATTAGCACCGAAAGACAAGAAAATTATGAGAGTTTGGGACCCAATTCTCACTCCCTCTCTCTAGGCAAGTATGGATGTCTATTTTTCATATGACTTTCTACATTGAGTAAAGGGGTCTATATGTTTTTTTCCTGTACTTTTTCCATTTTAAAAATAACTTTGTTGTTGCTTTGTTTTTGCAAAACTCAGGGCTGGGAGTGGTGGCTCATGCCTGTAATCCAGCACTTTGGGAGGCTGAGGTGGGCAGATCACTTGAACTCAGAAGTTTTAGACCAGCCTGGCCAACATGGTGCAACCATGTTGCTACCAAAAATACATTAGTCAGGCATGGCGGTGTGAGACTGTGGTCTGAGCTAGTTGGGAGGCTGAGGTGGGAGAATCGCTTGAGCTCAGGAGGTGGAGGTTGCAGTGAGCTGAGATGATGGCCATTGCACTCTAGCCTGTGTGACAGAGTGAGATACCATCTCAAAAAAAAAAAAATCCCTCAAAGAAAGATATCTTTACAAGATCTTTAATTGTTTTTGTTTTTTCCTGCTAGTAGGCCTCTGTTATTGAAGAGCACAGAATCTTGGAACTGCAGGTATATATATGCTGCATCAGATAGAATTCTGCCTGCAGAGGACAGACCTGGAGCTCTAGCATCTCACCAGATGCTTTCACAGGCTCAGCTCTGCTGTAGTATTAAGCCTTAACGCAGTGGAAAAGTTTGACCTATGGACACCTGAAATGGGAAAATGCCTAGTGAGTAAGCATTGAGAGACTTTGTTCTCATCTAGGTATCTTGAACTCTCGTAATAATCCAATCTATGGCTCCTAATTCACTGTATTTTGGGTTTGACCTTGGGGCTCTTTACCACATTGAGTACATGATCTGCCGGTTTTGAATAGGAACTCTGATCCTGACTTGAATCTCTGCCATGCTCAAAGTACTTCCCTAGAAAGCTGATGTTCTATTCTTTGCTGAGAGTTTGCTTATTAGATGTCTTTTGGTGTCAAAGTAATTAAGAAATATGGGAAAAGGAACAATAGTAACAACAGAAAGTCAGTCTCTGATGAATGTGAGTCTAGGATGTCCCTTCCTGATTCATGACTTGATTTTTCTAAACTAACATTGGTTCTTCTGTGGGCAGGATAGTAACGTAAGGAGTTTCATCTCAAAGAAAAAAAAAAAAGCAGAAAATGGATCATTGCCCTTAGCCGTCAAGCTTGAGCTCAGCCATGGGTGCTACTGATTAAAAGAGAGAGCCTGAATGCTATACAGTCTTAAGAAGAAGTGAAATTCTGATACGTACTACCATGTGGATAAGCCTTGAAAACATTATGCTTAGTGAAATGGGCCAGACACCAAAGGGCAAATATTGTATGATTTTACTTATATAGGGTATGTAAAATGGGCAAATTGATAGAAACAAAGGAGATGTTATCAGGAGACAAATGGAGGGGAAGCATGGGGAATTATTCTTTAATGGGTACAGAGTTTCAGTATCAGATGATGAAAAATTCTGGAATAAATAGAGGTAATAAGTGCACAACCATGTGAATGCACCCAAGGACACTGAATCATACACTTCAAGTGGTAAATTCTGTTTTGTATATTTACATAATTTACATAAAATATAATAGAATTTCTGTTACATATTTTTATTACGTATTATGTATTTCTGTGAGATCTACATAACAGAAGTTCCTCTTAAAAATAATTAATGGTATTTTTCCTAAATGGCTTTTATATATCTGTTTTATCATTCTATATCAGCCAGTCTTATAACAGAGTTATGGTGCTTAGAAAAAAAGAATAAAAAAATAGCCCTTCATCATCTGAAGCACTTAACACACTCTAGTGGCAGGTTCTAGATCCTCATGGCTGAGCTATGGAATACTCACAAAGCGTTCTTACTTAAAATCGGGGGAGTAGACAGAAGAAGGTGAACCTACCTCCTTCTATCATCCAGTCCAGCAAATCCGACTACTCTTCTTGGGTCATCTAGGTCCTTCCACTCTTCTCTGGGCCTTCATGTTTTCCAACTCCCTCCTTTCATCATATCATATATATTTACCTTTGTACAAGCTTATTTATTCTACCTATATCCCAAATATTAGCTTGGTTCCCCTCCACCACTTGTAGATCTCAACTTGACACTTTACAATTCCAAAGTTCTCGAAAGTCTTAATTTCCCTGGAATTTTTTATCATTCTGATAGATTGACACTCCTTTATCTCCTTAGTTCTCAGCTCCAGCTTTCCAACATAGTATATTTTTGTATGGAATCAACCCAGGGGTCAATTTCAGTCCCCTTTTAATTTCTACCAAAAGAGTCCACATTGATGGGAAAGAATTAATGAGAAATGCAACATTTACTAAAGCACGGTAAGACTGAAAAAGAGACGGGGCATAGTAAATACCACAGGAAACAAAAGCCTGCTCTTCATACTTCTTATCTGGCAAAGTCCTTTTGGGATGCTCTGACCTTGAGGGCTCTTAAATGTCAATGTTTCACCTATGCAGGGCCTCCCCTCATTGTTTTACCGCTTTCTTGAAAGTCCTCTCCATAATGACTCTTCCATCCAACATAGTTCTCCATCAAAGAATCTCCATTGATTGAACAGAGATACTCAACTCTCCCAAATATATATATATATTTTAGATGGAGTTTCACTCTTGTTGCCCACGCTGAAGTATAGAGGTGCAATCTTGGCTCACTGCAACCTCCACCTCCTGGGTTCAAGCAATTCTCCTGCCTCAGCCTCCCGAGTAGCTGGGATAACAGGCACGTGCCACCGTGCCTGGCTAATTTTATATTTTTAGTAGAGACGGGGTTTCGCCATGTTGATCAGGCTGGTCTCGAACTCCCGACCTCAGGTGATCTGCCCGCGTTGGCCTCCCAAAGTGCTAGATTACAGGCATGAGCCACCACACCCGGCCAACTCTCCCAAGTCTTTACCTCAACCTGCATTCAACTATCCTCCTTTAAGAAGAGGGACTTCTTTTCCCTTGCTGATTTATTTTCTTTTACGTTTTATTGTTTGTTGCAACTTTACTAACATATAGCTCATCACAAACATTACCTTATAAAGTGCACTCAGTGGTTTTGGTATATTTATAGGGTTGTGCAAATATTACGTTTTTAAACATCTAAGCTCTCAATAGAATCATACGTAGCAACATAGACAATTTGGTTTTTGATTCAAATCACATCTATGGTGATTCTGTAAAAGGTTTCTTGATTTTCCCCATCTACTTTCTTTTTATAGAAATTCCTTTTGGTCTTCCTATACTACTAAAAATGATTAATGGTATCATTTCCTTGGATGGCTTTTATGTATCTGTTTTATCTCTCTATATCAGCCAGTCATATAGCAGAGCTGTGGTACTTACAGCTTCATTATTAAGGTGATTATAAACTGTTGAAATTAAGCACAGTTAGTTTCCTTCCTCCCTTCCTTCCTTTCTTTCTTTCTTTTTTTTTTTTTTTTTTGGACGGAGTCTCACTTACTCTGTTGCGCAGGCTGGAGTGCAGTGGTGTGATCTTGGCTCACTGCAACCTCCGCCTCCCGGGTTCAAGCAATTCTCCTGCCTCAGCCTCCCAAGTAGCTGAGATTACAAGGATGCACCACCACACCCAGCTAATTTTTGTGTTTTTGGTAAAGACAGGGTTTCACCATGTTGGCCAGGCTGGTCTTGAACTCCTGACCTCAGGTGATTCACCTGCCTTGGCCTCCCAAAGTCCTGGGATTCTAGGCGTGAGCCTAGACTATCATTTCTTCACTTTTTTTTTTTTTCTTCACTGGGGCACCTAATTCTTCCTATTCATATGATGAGGTTTTACCAGATCTCACAGTTCGTTTCTTTGCTTATTTTCCTCATCAATAGCTACCCCAGAATCTCCCACATCCTTGAGATGTATACGTCAAGTCCATACTTCCATTATCTGCTCTTCTTTGACTTCAGGAGTTTTCCGTATTAAGAGAAATCTCTACATATGCATTGTATCTCTTGTAACATTCTTTATGGACTGATTACCTTCATAACTACTGCTAAAGCTCCCAGGATATGCAGATAGAAAAACCCACTGCAAACTTAATACAAAGATAGGTTCCAGAAAAGAATTTCCAACCAAGGAAAAGAAGCTATAAAAATGGCTTATCAAGTATATTCTCTAAAAATGTCAATGTCATAAAGAGAAGGCTGAGAAAGCCTGAGACTTTTAAAGGACATTAAAGATAAAATGGCAGGTGATTCTAGACCTGCACTGTCCCATATGATGGCAACTGACGACATGTGGCTACTTAAACTGATATTAATTGAAATTCAGTAAAATTCAAAATTTAATTTCTCAGTTGCAATAGCCACATTTCAGGTGCTCAATACCTGCTTGTGGCTGGTGGTTACTGTATTAGACAGGGCAGGTGTATTCATAAATTTTGTACTTTTATTCTTGGTGTATGTAATCCCTTTAGGATAATTCTTGGGATCAATGCCAGTTATTTAGTAAATACTTCAGTAACAAATATTTATTGCTGTATCTGGTAAATTTGCAAAGTTCACCGTTATAAATCATTAAAATAAGAATGACTACATTTGTTTCAATTTTCTATGGGTAATGAAATTAAGAGAGTCAAAACACTGGGTTTTTATGACTGTTTTGCACTTTTGTGCAGCCCTTTGTTAGCACAAACTCCTACTTTAAACCATGAAAATAAATGGCTAATAAAGATAATTAATATCACCATTAAGTCAGCAGTTTTATTGGGATCTCAAAATTATGGTTTATTAACAATAGGAAAATTTTAGTATTCTAATATTTTAAGCCCTCTTAAAATTATTGAAGTAAATAAATGTTTTCAGAATATTAATTTTTATGGAATAATCTTGTTTTAGCAAGAAAATCAAGAGAGTGCTCTTAACTGATAGTATGTGAACATTCCTATTTTGGACAATGCTCTTGCCTGTGAGCTTTGCTTATTAAAAAACAGCATTGTGTTGGATATTTGCTGTGCATGGAAGACCATGATAATTTCATATTAGTAAATAACACAAATGTCTAATTTTGAAGAGTAATCCTTTTGCTTCTGTGATCTATACATGAGAATCATGACCAGTGCATATTCCCAGCTTTGGGAAATGCAAAGTCATTTATCAAAAACCTATTTTAAAAAATGTTTGTTCCAAACTCTTAGAAATAAAGTGTTTGCAACTTCATCCATATCCCTACAAAGGACATGAACTCATCCTTTTTTATGGCTGCATAGTCCATGGTGTATATGTGCCACATTTTTTTAATCCAGTCTATCATTGATGGACATTTGGGTTGGTTCCAAGTCTTTGCTGTTGTAAAAAGTGCCGCAATAAACATATGTGTGAATGTGTCTTTATAGCAGCATGATTTATAATTCTATGCATATATACCCAGTAATGGGATGGCTGGGTCAAATGGTATTTCTAGTTGTAGATCCTTGAGGAATCGCCACACTGTCTTCCACAATGGTTGAACTAGTTTACAGTCCCACCAACAGTGTAAAAGTGTTCCTATTTCTCCACATATTCTCCAGCACCCTTTGTTTCCTGACTTTTTAATGATTGCCATTCTAACTGGTGTGAGATGGTATCTCATTGTGGTTTTGATTTGCATTTCTCTGATGGCCAGTGATGATGAGCATTTTTTCATGTATCTGTTGGATGCATAAATGTCGTCTTTTGAGAAGTGTCTGTTCATATTCTTCGCCCACTTTTTGATGGGGTTGTTTTTTTCTTGTAAATTTGAGTTCTTTGCAGATTCTAGATATTAGCCCTTTGTGAAATGAGTAGGTTGCAAAAATTTTCTCCCATTCTGTAGGTTGCCTGTTCACTCTCATGGTGGTTTCTTTTGCTGTGCAGAAGCTCTTTAGTTTAATTAGATCCCATTTGTCAATTTTGGCTTTTGTTGCCATTGCTTTTTGTGTTTTAGACATGAAGTCCTTGCCCATGCCTATGTCCTGAATGGTATCGCCTAGGTTTTCTTCTAGGGTTTTTATGGTTTTAGTTCTAACATTTAAGTCTTTAATCCATCTTGAATTAATTTTTGTATAAGGTGTAAGGAAGGGATCCAGTTTCAGCTTTCTCCATATGGCTAGCCAGTTTTCCCAGCACCATTTATTGAATAGGGAATCATTTCCCCATTTCTTGTTTTTGTCAGGTTTGTCAAAGATCAAATGGTTGTAGATGTGTGGTATTATTTCTGAGGGCTCTGTTCTCTTCCATTGGTCTGTATCTGTTTTGCTACCAGTGCCATGCTGTTTTGGTTACTGTAGCCTTGTAGTATAGTTAGAAGTCAGGCAGTGTGATGCCTCCAGCTTTGTTCTTTTGGCTTAGGATTGACTTGGCAATCTGGGCTCTTTTATCATTCTCAGCAAACTATTGCAAGGACAAAAAACCAAACACCGCATGTTCTCACTTATAGGTGGGAATTGAACAATGAGAACACTTGGACACAGGAAGGGGAACATCACACCAGGGACTGTCCTGGGGTGGGGGGTGGGAGCGGGGAGGGATAGCATTAAGAGATATACCTAATGTAAATGACGAGTTAATGGGTGCAGCACACCAACATGGCACATATATACATATGTAACAAACCTGCACTTCGTGCACATGTACCCTAGAACTTAAAGTATAATAAAAAAGGAATTGTTTGTACTATTTAGTAATACAATATTACCATGGTGTCCAACATCCCTTCATGATAAAAATCTTCTACAAACTAGGCATCAAAGGAACATACTTTGAAAATAATAAGAGCCATCTATGACAAACTCACAGCCAACATCATACTGATTGGGCAAAGCTGGAAGCATTCCCCCTGAAAACTGGAACAAAACAAGGATGCCCACTGTCACCACTCCTATTTAACATCATATTGGAAATCCAATATGACTGAGCAATCAGGGAAGACAAAAGACATCCAAAATGAAAAGAGGAAGTCAAATTATCTCTATTCACTGATGATAAGATTCTATACGTAGAAAATCTAAAAATTTCATCGAAAGATCCCTTGATTAGACAAATGGCTTCAGCAAAGTCTCTGGATACAATATCAATGTACAAAAATCAGCATTTCTTACACCAATAGCCTACAAGCTGAAAATCAAGAACACAATCTCATTTAAAATAGTTACCAAATAAACTATATGCTAGTACATAAAATCATGGAGGCGAAACATCTCTGCAAGGAGAACTACAAAACACTGCTGAAAGAAATCATTCATGCATGACACAAACAAATGGAAATGTATCCCATGCTCATGGGTTGGAAGAATCAATACTGTTAAAATGTCCATACTCTCCAAAGCAATCTATAGATTCAAGGCTATTTTTATCAAATTACCAACATTATTTTTCACAAATTAGGAAAAAATTATTCTAAAATTGATATGAAACCAAAAAATGATAAATGGTAATCTAATCCTTAATAGCCAAAATATTACTAAGCAAAAAGAATAAAGTTGGAGGCATCACATTAACTGATTTCAAACTATGTTGCAAGGCTATAGTAACCAAAACAGCATGGCACTGGTACAAAAATAGACACCCAGACCAATGGAAAATAATAGAGAACCCTTATGGAAAATAATAGAGAACCCTTAAATACAGCAGCACACCTGCAGCCAGCTGACCTTTGATAGAGTCAACAAAAATAAACAATGAGAAAAAGACTCCCTATTCAATAAATGTTGCTGGAAAAACTGGCTAGCCATATGCAGAAGAATGAAACTGGACCCCTACCTCTCACCATGTAAAAAAATTAACTTGAGATGGATTAAAGATTTAAATGTAATGATGTCAAATTATAAAAATTCTAGTAGAACACCTGGGATGTATTCTTTTAGATATTGGTCTAGGCAAATAATTTATGAAGAAGACCTCAAAAGCAAATGCAACAAAATCAAAAGTAGACAAATGGGACTTAAACTGAAGAGCTTCTGCACAGCAAAATAAACTACCAACAGAATACACAGACAACATACAGAATGGGAGAAAATATTTGCAAATGATGAATTTGACAAGTAATATCCACAATTTATAAGGAACCTAAATCAACAAGCATAAACAACCTCATTAAAAGTGGGCAAGGAATATGAGCAAACACTTCACAAAAAAAGATAAGTGGCTAAAAAACATAGGAAAAATTGCTCATTATCACTAATCACTGAAATGTAAATCAAAACCACAAGGAGATACCATCTTACACAAGTCAGAATGACTATTATTAGAAAGAAAAAAAATAATCTGTTGGCAATGTTGTGGACAAAAGAGAATGCTTATACACTGTGGTATCAAGGAAAATTAGCTTGGCCCCTGTGGGAAATAGTTTGGAGATTTCTCAAAGAGCTAAAAATAGAGTTAACATTAGACCTAGCAATTCCATTACTGGTTATATACCCAAAGGAAAATAAATCATTCTACCAAAAAGGATAATAAATTGTTCTACTTGTATGTTTATGGCAGCAGTATTCACAATAGCCAAGAAGTAGAATCAACCCAGATGCCCATTAATGGTGAATTGGATAAAGAAAATGTGGTACGTATACACCATGGAATATTACAAAATCACACACAAAAAAATGTCTTTACAGCAAGGTGGATGCATCTGGAGGCCAAAATCCTAAGCAAATTAATGCAGAAACAGAAAATCAAATACTGCATGTTGTCACTTGTAAGTGGAAGCTGAATATTGGGTACATACAGACACAAAGTAGACACTGAGGAGTCCAAAGGCAAGGAGGGAAGCAGTTGGGGGTAAAGTTTGAAAAACTATGTGTCCAGTACTACATTTGGTACCTGGGCAACAGGATCATTAGAAGCCCAAACCTCAGCATCATGCAATATACTCATGTAACAATTCCGCACATACACCCCCAGAATCTAAATAAAAAAATAAGTTAAAATGACATTTTAAAAAATTAAACTAGAAATGTTTGGAGGCATTGGAGAAAAACTCAACTGGAAAAATTCGAACCAATGTTGGTTTAGATTTCAGGGTCAGTTAATACAACTTTGAAGGGTATTGCTCTTGGATGCTGGTAAACACAATTTTGAAGATTGTTCTGTGTGGTTACCTGGGAGTTTCCTGGGTAATGACCATATGTGCTCTGAAAGAGGAGAGGGAGAGACCCCATTATTGAGATAATATGTTATACTGGTACAGCAATCAACTAGCCTTGTTCTAGCTTCAATGAAACAATCTTTTTAGGAAGTTCAAATGGATTTTAACTTTAAAGTTTAGATTGCTAATTTAAATTAGAATGCATTATTATATTGGGGTCAACTAGATTTATTTTTGATGTACGGATTTCAACTGAGGTCTGAATACAGTATTGATGTTTGCATTTTTTTGTTGTTTTTGGACTCCTAACATGTCTGCCATATAGCTGCTCAATACATGTTAAGTAAATAATATATTTTTTGAAGTTTGCTTTTGTTTATGAAAAATACACTCTCACCTAATATGCCTCTAGTAGCAATTTCAGCAAGATACCACATGATGGGGTTGCTATTCTATGAACAAAGACTTCCAAAAAGAACATGCCCTTGCTGTATTTCTGGATAGGGTAAAACAATTTAGGAATAGGCAGGAAAAATTTGGAAGTTCTCAAAAAGGACTACCTTCTTTTTTAGACTAAATATTGTATAGTTGTTTTATAACAGATGTCTTATAAAAGGTAAACTAGAGTGGTAACTCTCAACTGTGAATGATATCTAAATTACCCAAGGAGTTTAAAAAACCAATAAATCATTTTCCCTTACTTTGGACCTTCTGAATCAGAAATGCTTAGACTAGGCAAGAGGATCCATATTGAAAAACAAAACCTTGGAACCACCTCAACTGATGCTCATTCTTTGCTAGAATTGAGACTCTAAATTAGTGGAATATAAAATTAATGAAATGTTTACTTATTACAGATGGTATGTAAGGGGGAAGTGGAGAATGGCTTGTTGCCAAAAGAGATTTCTAACAGGATGAAAGACAAAAAGCAACAGGTAAAGCTAATGCGACAATTCAGAAGTAACATAATGGGAGCGCCATTTAGAGTATGGGTAATCTTTTCTATAACTGTCTGTGGCCCCTGTGATCACAATTCTTTTAATACACATTACATTCAGTGGCATTCACAATGATTCCACTTAGTCATTTGTTTCTAGGATATAACATAAGATCCATATTAAAACCACCACCACCTAAAAAAGAAACTTCAAAGAGACATCACTTTTGTTCCCCCAAAGTTTTAATTTACTATGCAACCTCTTTATCTCCTACTGTTTGGTAAAACTTCTGGGAGAAATGGTGTCTGCTTTCTACTTTACAGTATTTGTTTATACATCTTTGAGTAATAAGGAGAGTTTTTTTAACTTTTAAGTTTTTACTAAAACTTTAGTTTTAACTAAAAGGTTTTTGTAACTTAAGTTCAGGGGTACTAGTGCAGGTTCATTACATAGGTAAGCTTATGTCATGTGGGTTTGGTAGACTAATAAAGTAGAAGAGGGTCTGTATCTTAATTATCTTTGTTTAACAATGTTTTATCAAATATAGATGTTTGATTTGTTTGACTTCAAATTAAGCTCAGATAGCTAGAAAATTTGCTCATGGCTGATTTTCCCAAAATGTCTAGGAATTGAGACTTATTTCATTACTTTTTAATGTTTCCTTCTATAAAGAGGAGAAGGAATTTGTTTGAAATCACTTCTCTGGAAGTTGTCTAGCTAGGATTTTTTTTTTTTTTACTTTGTCTCAGTGGTATGGATTTATACGTTATTTCTTATCAAAAAATATAAAATGTCTATAGAATACATAAAATAATGTTTTAATTTATGAGTTGTGTGTAATAGTAGATAAGCATTTCCAAGAGGTATCAAAGCAGCTTTACTTTCTAAATAAATTAAAAGTTACAAAAATACATATTTGACTTTGCAAGAAATGAAATGATAACATTGATTGGGATTGAATAGCATGTTAACCCTCTTACTTTTTGAGTAAAGCTCATTGAGTGAAGAATCTGTACCTAGAGAGAGAGGAGAATCCAAAATATGTATTTTCATAATGTTTTTCTCCCAGTTTGCTTCCAATGATATTAAAATTGCATGGAGATAGAAAATTCAGTCAGATTTAACTTCTGTTAAAAATTAGCCAGTGTGGGATTTATGCATGATTCATAATTTACTGTCATATAATTAGTGATGGAAAAAGACAATGAGCCTGGAACAGAAGAAAATCATCCTGCTGGTTTATGATTTTTTTTCAGATAATGCTGAATAGTACATATGTTTTAGGTTAATTTCACCAATCTATTATATTGTAGTCCTAAAATGTGATTTATTTAAATATTTTGTCTCATTATCTTTAATCAAATTCTACTTTATGACAGTCAATTTTTCATGACCTCAATAAGCATAAGGCAAAAATGATAGTAGAGTTTTAATTTAGCACTTAAAAAATCAACACAGCTGAGCAGGGACTTCCTATCGTTTATTTCACTGACAATTTAAATAGAACTTGAAGAAATACTTTTGAGCAAACTTATTGCATATATTATCTAAGACAACATTGAAAAGATTTGCAAATATCTCCAAAGATTGACCAATTTTTAGTTGTAATCTCAACATTTATAAAATGCTAGTGAAAAATGTTTGGCAAAATTGTGTGTGTGTGTGTGTGTGTGTGTGTGTTTTTTTTTTTAGAACAATTCTGTTTGGTTTCCATTGTGACTTACAGGTGGCCTTTTACCTGTTGTGCTGCTTTCTCTAGAATTGTTTCTCTACTAACTGAGGCCATTTATTAGAACTCCCATTCTGGTGTCTTGAGAAAGTTTTGCCAGAACTCAGAAACTCAGAGTACTTTTTTAATATGCATTTGCATGTGTATAGATAGATAGATAATATATAGATATTTAAAATTACAAGAATGTAAAATAAATTACATTAAACAATAGTAGCTTTTGCAATTATTTTCAAATTCAAAATTTTGAGTTTCAGGAAGAATTAGGAGAGAAAAAAGTAAGAAAAGAAATCTTTCCGTGGCCTTCTTGAAAGTGTTTTGACAAGCCCAGAGCTGACCTCATAGTCGATAGTGAATAACTGAAGGCTTTTCCCCTAAGATCAACATGCTATGGAAGGTCCTAGCTAGAGAAATTAGGCAAGAAAAACAAAAGGCATCCAAATTGGAAAGGAGGTAGTAAAATCATCTCTGTTGCAGATGGCATGATCTTATATATAGAAAGCTCTAAAGATGCCACCAAAAAAATTGTTAAAACTAATGAATTCAGTAAAGTTGCAAGATACAAAATCAACGTACAAAAATCAGTTGCATTTTCACATGCTAACAATGAATTATTAAAAAAATTTAAGAAAACCCATTTACAATAGCATCAAAAAATAAAAATACTTAGGAATGCATTTAACCAAAGAGGTGAAAGATCTGTACATGAAAACTTTAAAACATTGATGAAAACATTCAAGAAGAAACAAATGGAAATATTTTTTTCGTCCATGGATTGGAATAATCAATATTATTAAAGTGGCCATGGTACCCTAAGTGATTTACAGATTCAATGTAATCTTTAACAAAATTCCAATGAAACTTTTCTCAAACGGAGAAAAAACAATCCTAAAATTTTTATGAAACCTCAAAAGATTCTAAATAGCCAAAGCAACACTGAGCAAGAACAAAGCTGGAGGTATCACACTTCCTGATTTCAAAATATATTACAACACGACTGTAATTAAATAATATGGCACTGGCATAAAAGCAGACATATAGACCAATGGAACAGAATAGAAAACCCAGGAATAAATTAGCACATTTACAGTCAACTGATTTTTGACAAAGGTGTAAAGAACACATACTGGGGCAAGGATAGTCTTTTTAATAAATGATGTTGAGAAAACTTGATATTCACATGAAGAGAATGAAATTAGGCCCTTATCTCACACCATATATAAAATCAACTTAAAAGTCATTAAAAATTCAGATGTCAGACTTTCAACTGTAAAATTTCTAGAAGAAGACACGAAGGAAAAGCGTCTTGACATTGGTCTGGGCAATGACTTTTTGGGTATGACCTCAAAAACGCAACAACAAAAGCAAAAATAGAGAAGTGGGATCATATCAAACTGAAAAGCTTCTCCATGAGAATAAAAAGATCAATAGAGTGAAGAGACAATATACAAAATGGGAGAAAAAATGTTTGCAAGTCATACATCTAATAAGGGAGCAAAAATCCAAAATATATAAAGAATACAACCCAAAAGCATAGATAAGTTAATTTAAAAATAACCCAAATATAAAAAAATGGGCAAAAGACCTGAATAAACACTTAACATTTTTCCAAAGAAGTCAATAGGTCTATGAAAAAGTGCTCACTGTTATGAATTTTCAGGGAAATGTAAATCAAAACCACAATGAAATATTACCTCACACTAGTTAGGATGACCATCAAAAAGATAGGAGATACGTGTTGGCAAAGAAGTGGAGAAAAGGGAACCCTTACATACTGTTGGTAGGAATGTAAATTGATAGAGCTATTACAGAAACCGGTCTGAAGGCTCCGAAACCCTGTCTGTACGAAAAAATATGAAAAAAAATTAGCCGAGCGTGGTGGCAGGCACCTGTGGTCCCAGCTACTCAGGAGGCTGAGGCGGGAGAATGGCATGAACCCAGGAGGCGGAGGTTGCAGTGAGCTGAGATCACACCACTGCACTCCAGCCTGAGCAACGGAGAGAGACTCTCTCTTAAAAAAAAAAGTGCAACTTACTTTATGAATCAGCAGTCCTACTTCTGGCTTTGTATAAAACATATGAAATCAGTATTTCGAAGGGATATCTGTATGCCCATGTTTATTGCAGAATTATTCACAATAGCTGAGATATGGAAGCAAACTAAGAGTCCAGTGAATGAATGGAAAAAGAAAATAATTTAGATATATAGATATTTATAAAAATATTCAATGGAATATAATTCAGCCTTAAAATTAAGGACATCTTGCCATTTGCAACAACGTGGATGAGACTGGAGGACATAGTGCCAAGTAAAATGAGCCAGACATAGCAAGACAAATATTGTATTATCTCACTTATATGTCAAATCTAAAAAAGTTGAACTCATGAAGACAGAGCATTGAATGGTGTTTGCCAGGCCCTTGAGATTGTGGGAAATGGAGAAATATGGATTAAAGGGTACAAAGTTTAAGTCAGGCATGATGAATTACCTCTGTAAATCTAATGTACAGCATGGTGAATATAGTTAATGATGCTGCATGGTACACTTGAAATTTGCTGAAAGAGTATCTATCTTAAGTGTTCTCACACAAAAGATCACTCCATGAGGTGATATATTAGCTTGATGGTGGTCATCACTTTACAATGTGTACATATATTAAAACGGGTTTGTACTCCTCAATTTATACAACTTTTGTCAATTGTATGTCAATAAAGCTGGGGGAAAATGTGTTCTGATTAAAAAGACACACAAAAAAAAATAACAATGAGAAGAGAAAGCTCATGGGCATCTTTCTGAAGGCATAAAGGTTGGCCAGTTGGTCCCTGACTGGAAGCAGTCACTTGCTTACGTGGTCTGATTTAAGGGGTCTGTAAAAGCTTCTTCTCAACAGTTTACTGCTTCACTACTTGTAATGAATATTTGAGCACACACTGGATGTGAGATATTGTCTTCCAATGAGTGAGTAGAATTTTTTTTTAAGACATGAAACTGTTTTTGAGGATATTAAATGGTAAAGAAATTAATAACAATTTTCAAAATTTAACTTAATTTCGCTAAGATTTTTTCTTTCTTTTTGGTATGAAGGTATAGTTTAAGAAAATATCTGCCTAAAACTTTAGGATAGAAGCTGAGACTTTGTAGCAAATATTAATAAATAAGCCATGCAATAATTAGAAATAGGTGAGAATTTGAATGTGGGTGATGAGAGGACCAAAACAGCAGAGTATCACAGGCTCAAGGACTTTCATCAAATCGAAAATTTAATTGAACTTGCCTACATTTCTTGAATAAAAAACTCACCATCTCATTAAATTTTGAAGTCTGCTATGTGTTCTTATTTTTTTGCAAGCGTTACACATATGCATATGGTGTGTAAATTTAAAAATAAGTCGTATTTCTGTGATGCACGAGTAATGAACTGAATTATTTTAGAAAAGAGAGGACTCAGAACTATAGATAAGGTGATCATGGGTATATATGCCTGCTTGAGAACTCATAGAAAACTTGGAGAGACATTGTACTCCCAGAGTACCTGGAACGTGACATTATTTGCTCTTAATTATTAGATAGATGACAGTTTATATTCAGGTTGTTAAATAGTTACTGAGATACATAAATACTACACTCTCTGTTGGATATTTCACATATTATCACTTTTTATTTATTTTACTTTAAGTTCTGGGATACATGTGCACAACATGCAGGTTTGTTACATAGGTATACATGTGCCGTGGTGGTTTGCTGCACCTATCAACCCGTCAGCTAAGTTTTAAGCTCTGCATGCATTAGGTATTTGTCCTAATGCTCTCCCTCCCCTTGCCCCTCACCCCCCAACCTGCCCAGGTTTGTGTTGTTCCCTTCCCTGTGTCCATGTGTTCTCATTGTTCAGCTCCCAATTATGAGTGAGAACATGTGGTGTTTAGTTCGCTGTTCCTGCATCACTTTTAATTTTTACAATAACCTTACGAAATACTTTGTTTCCCTTTTTTAGAAAAGTTCAAAAAAGTTAACACTTCTTCAAAATTACACAGCTACTGACTCAGGTTGGAACAAGATCTATCTGATTTCCAAGCTATTCTTTCCTCTGAACCAAATAGATGTATTTGCTGAGAGATAAAACAAATAAATGCACTTTACTTTGTAATTTATACACAGAAGTGGATTAGATTTTAAAACACACAGTAAAATGTCTTGTGTAGGGCTAGTAGGAAAGGGTGTACTGGCACTGGAAGAATCTTATGATGGGGGATTTGCCTGATACCCAGGGAAAGGCACGAAGTGTTGGAGTTGTATAACATGGGGAGCGATGGGCAAGAGAGGGTAATGAGGTCTTCAGGACCTGAAAATTCAGCAGGAAGGGCATTGGGATTCAATTCATAATTTTGCCTAGGACTCAACTCTGCCTAGGTCTTCCAGTTTATGGCTTAATGCCTTCTCTGGTGAAAGGATTGACCAACGGGGCGACCTTCTTGAGAAGCCCTCAGTTGGATCACGGTAGGGGATGTGAGCCATAAAGCATACAGATGATTTTTTTTTTTTAAATCTTGTTTTTTTTCTCCAAACTGATGCGAAGGTCTGGGGTGCAAAGGTCAGCCTTTATTGTTGCAGTAAAAATGCTCCTATTTATTTTTCAATTAGTTGGCTAGGAGACTTCGGGTCTTGATGAATGATCACCCTTGAAAAGCAGCAGCCTTCTGGGCTCCAGACTGTCGGGCCTGAGCTCATCGAGATGGACATGCCTTGGAGGTGATGTGTAGAGGGCAGGGTCATGACTGCTCACAGACCCTTAAAAAGCCTCATGGCTTTTCAGCTGAGAGTTGGTTTCAATGGACAGTGAGAAAGGAATATGCCTTGCGACTTTTAAGCCCATAGTCTGTTCCCAGGGTTCTATCTTTGGAGAAGAAAGAACAGATATAGGAGGAGGAGGCTGCATATAAAACGATTAAAAATTTGTTCAAAATTAATTTGAAGGGCTAATTAAATTTAATTGGATAAGTTGCCAGACATGAATCAAAATGAGCTTTTTTTTTTTCTTCTCTTTCTCTCTGAATCTCCTCAGAGATTCTTCCCAATACTTTGGACTCATCTTGGCCATTGCAGCTCATATGGTTGAATATAATTTAATACTATGCTCCCTTAGGCAGCCAGTCTCTGGGTTAAGCAACGCTATAGCCAAAGAATTATAAAATTATAATGAAGGGACCTTGGGAAGTCATCCTTTCACTTTTACCTAAACCATTGCAAAACTGATTATATATGTTGCCTTTAAATTCAATCAAATCTTATCAGATGCTGACTTCCTCTGTTTGTCCAATTGTAAAGCAAGTGCCTTGACCATCCTATCACCTAGGAATATATTTAATGTTATGTCATTATCTTCATACCGGCTACTTATTTGCCCATGCACTTCTTATATGTTTTCAATAGTTAAGGCTCTCTATAAGGCATGGATTATAATTTTAATTTGTTCTGCATGAGACATAGCGAAGCATTTTTTAAATATAAGCATTTCTTTTATATATCTCTACAGAGTGATAATGTGGGAAAATAATTACCTTAGTGATTCAGTTCTTGCCATGATAATGCTATGTAACAAATCATCCTTAAATTCAAAGACTAAAACAATAATCTTTTATTCCCAGTTCCCCATCTGCAGTGCATATGGGGATTGGCCACTCTATCAAGGATTGGCCAGGCTGGCCTCCACACTACTGTTTGGGATCAGATCTGCTCCAGATGTCCCTCTTCTTCCTTAGACCAGCAGGTGAACCTGGACATGCTCTCCTCATAGCGGTGGCAGAATCACAAGAGGTCAAACCAAATTATTCAAGTACATTTCCCCAACATTTTATGGTAATCATGTTTAAACATATGGAAAAGAGGAAGCAACTGGACAATGAGCACCCATATAGGTACTACATAGGTTCCATTATTAATATTTTGCTAGACCTGCTTTATTACATATATATCCATCCAACCCCCATCTCTCTATGCATCCATTAGTTTGTCTTATTTTTCTATATGTCATAGTAAGTTTCAGATAGCAGCATATTTCACATGTAACTTGTGAGAATGCTTATCAAGTGTTTAATATTTACATTTTGGGTACAATTTATATACAGTGACAAGCATAAATATTAAGCATACTATTCTATGGGTTTTAATAAATGTAGATACTAGTGTTAGTGTAACATATTCCTGTCAAGTTACAGAGTGTCCGTAATGCCCACAGAAAATTCCCCCATGGTACTTCACAGTATGTTCTCATCTCTCAAGTCTAGAGGCAACCACTTTTCTGATTTTGTTTATATAGTACAAATTAGCTGTTTTAGAACTTCATATATATGGGTTCAGACATAGGAAATAAAATGTGTTAGGCTTGTTTTATTGAGAATCATTTTTAGCATTCTTGTATATTTGCACAATCAGTAGTTTCTTTTTGCTTCTGCGTGATATTGTATGAATATACCAGTGTGTTTACCCATTCTCTGTTGATGGATGCCTAAGCTCTTTACTGTTTTAAAACAAAACTTCTATGCTCATTCTCACATATATCCTTTTTTTGTGAACGTGTGCTTGCTTTCTTTTGAATAAATACACAAGAATGGAATCGTGGTATGTTTATGTTATGTTTAAAATATTTCCACAAATTATTTGACATTCTTTTCTTCAAAAGGAAGAGCCTAATTCTACTCAAGTGCAGGCAGGACTTAGGTTCCTGCTTTTAACAAATAAGAAAGAAGTGATAGTGCACAGTGTTGTATTCAGTTCAGGTTGCTATAACAGAATCCCATAGCCTGGGTAGCTTAGAAGCAACAGAAATTTATTTCTCACAGTCTGGAGGCTGAAAATTCAAGATCAGGGTGCCAGCATGCTCCACTTCTGGTGCAGCCCCTCTTCCACATTGCAGACTGCCCGCTGTTCCTTGTATCCTCACATGGCAGAAAGAGCCAGAGAGTTCTTTGGGATCTCCTTTTTTATTTATTTATTTATTTTAAATTTTTTACTTTAAGTTCTGGGATACTTGTGCAGAATGTGCAGGTTTGTTACCTAGGTATACATATGCCATGGTGATTTGCTGCACCTGTCAGCCCATTATCTAGGTTTTAAGCCCCACGTGCATTAGGCATTTGTCCTAATGCTTTCCCTCGCCTACCCCCACTACCCCGACAGGCCCCAGAGTGTGACGTTCCCCTCCCTGTGTCCATGTGTTCTCATTGTTCAACTCCCACTTATGAGTGAGAACCCGCAGTGTTTGGTTTTCTCTTCTTGTGTTAGTTTGCTGAGAATGATGGTTTCCAGCTTCATCCACGTTCCTGCAAAGGACATGAACTCATTCTTTTTTATGGCTACATAGTATTCCATGGGTATGTGTGCCACATTTTCTTTATCCAGTCTAACATTGATGGGCATTTGGATTGGTTCCAAGTCTTTGCGTTTGTGAATAGTGCTGCAATAAACATATATGTACATGTGTCTTTATAGTGGAATGATTTATAATTCTTTGGATATATACCCAGTAATGGGATGGCTGGGTCAAATGGTATTTCTGGTTCTAGATCCTTGAGGAATTGCCACATTGTCTTCCACAGTGGTCGAACTAATTCACACTCCCACCAACAGTGTAAAAGTGTTCCTGCTTCTCCACAGCCTCACCAGCATCTGGGATCTAACTAAACTACAGAGTGTCTGCACAACAAAAGAAACTATCATCAGTGTAAATAGGCAGCCAACAGAATGGGAGAAAAATTTTGCAATCTACCTATCTGACAAAGGTCTAATATCCAGAATCTACAAGGAATTTAAATAAATTTACAAGAAAAAAACAACCCCATCAAAAAGTGGGTGAAAGATATGAACAGACACTTCTCAAAAGAAGACATGTATGTCGCCAACAAACATGAAAAAAAAGCTCATCATCACTAGTCATTAGAGAAATGCAAATCAAAACCACAATGAGATACCATCTCATGGCAGTTAGAATGGCGATGATTAAAAAGTCTGGGGTCTCCTTTAATAAGAGCAGTAGTCTCATACTTGGAGGCGATGCTCCTGAGATCTAATTTTCACCCGAAGGCCCCATCTCCTTATACCATAACACTGGGAGTTAGGATTTCAACCTATAAATGTTGGCAAGGGATGCAAACGTTGTTCAGTGTTAAGGTTATAAAAGGCATTGTGACTTTCTCATTGCTTGCTCTATCTCTTGGATCCTTCACCCTGGGTAAAGCTAGGTGAAATATTGTAAGGACGCTCAAGTAGCCCTATGAAGAAGATTGTGTGGTGAGAAAATTGGTTCTCTTTCTAATCACCGGCCAGTAATTGAGTCATATGAGTGAGCTGTCTTGGAAATGGTTACTCCAGCCCTGTCAGGCCTGTAGATGACAGACACTGGAGTTCACACCTGACTGAAACTTTATAAGACCAGCTGAGCTGCTCCTGAATTTCTGACACACAAAATATGTGAGAGATAATACACAGTTAATGTCCTCTTAGTTTTAAGCCATTAGGTTGTGGGTATTTTTATGCAGCAATAAATAACTTAGATTCTGTTACTTGTGGGTTCCAGCTTATCCTTGTTCTCCTCTGCTTTGTATTCATCTTCCCTTCCTGGTCCTCTTCCTCATGGGCTTCAGCTAGAAGACAAAAGTGTTACACAAACTGATCAACCAGCTCCCACAATTGCTTATGGTCAAATTGTGTTAAGGGTTCTGCCTCTTTAATTGTACTCTGACTGATAAAGAATTTGTTAATAAGTATTGGTTCAGGGGGCAGAATCTGAAGCATAATTCTATGAGCTATTTCTAGATTACTTGAAATTGGTCCTCTGATCAGATGAAGTTTAGACATTGTTGACTCTGTTTCCAGTGATAAAGGGGATTTGCTAGCCCTAGGAATTCAGTGGCAATTAATTTATGGAAATTATTATTACCTGTAGACATCATAAAAAAACCTGTTGAAGACAAGTATCTGCGTCATCATGTAGTTGCTGTTACAGAACATTTTTGTGTGTAAAAATAGAATATGATAGGGTAAGTCGGTTATTCTAAATATGCTGGAAAATTTAGGGAAACTGATGAACTCATTGCAGTGTTTTAAGCTCCCAGCTTAATGTCTACTGTAAGAGAGGTGACAGCTTCTGTGACTGCCCTTAAAACCAAACCAAACCAGACCTTAGCCTCTACAGCTGCAGAGCTGAAGATACTGAAAATCAAACCCAAAGTCTAGTTCTGCAGATGGCTTTACATCACACAAATTGAATTCCCAACTTCTCACTGTCTCTTTTGGGAGAGTTGGAGTATTAAGTAATAACCCTTTTGTTGTGAGTGGAAGAAACCTTCCATCCTTGCCTGAGAAAATTAATGAATTCTTGTTTACAAGGATAACCTCCCCCATGGTAGTTGCCTTGTGTGAGATACTGCTGATTCTTCTCAGTACCTACCTTCCTTTTCTCTTCTTGCTTAGAGGCCTACATGTAGACTCAAGTCCAACATGGCCTAGAGGGTGAGATAGAACAGTGTAAGTAGTATTATACACACCAAAAGCATTGCATGGGTTTCCCCATTTATATCAACAAAACCTGGGGAATATGTGTATGAATGGATCTTAAGGAATTGAGACTCATTTAAACATTTTTTGTGGCAAATATATTTTAATACAATTGATTTTTGTATTAAGTCTTTAAACTTTAAGAAATTCATTTATTAGTTGTAATTGTGTGAGCCAGTTCACACCCCAGAGCTCCTTGAGTTAAGGAGAGGCTGGGTTCCACTCAGGAAAAACCTTACTACATTGCTAAAAAATTTTCCTGTTTATCTTCTTCCTAGTCTTCCTCAAATGGACCTATTGTTACTTGTCAGGGTGAAGGGGAAATAATCTTAATTTTTCAGCCATTACTAAACATTACTGTGATATGTTAGTTACAGTAGTAGCTTACAGAGATCCAGTGACCATTGGAGTTTTGACTCGGGTCCATTTCAAAAAGCAGGTCCAGCGGATTTCCCCAATCCACTTTGTGATTTTTTTTTTGTCTGCAGTTCTAGAAGGCATCATTGGAATAGTCATGCTCAGCCACTGATAGATCCTCACATTCATTCCCTGATACGTGGAATAAAGGCAATTACGGTAGGAAAGGCCACATGAAAACAACTAGAACTGCCTCAGCTTTTGAAAAGAGTAAAACTAAAATAAAACGACATTTCTGGAGGAATTGTAGATTGCAGAGATTATGTCAGCATCATGAAACAGTAGTGGTGATCCCAACCACATCCCCATCAACTCACCCACTTGGCCTGTGCAGAAGACTGGCTGGTCTTAGAGAATAAGAGTGGATTGTTTTATACTTAGGTAGTAACTCCAATTACAGCTGCTGTCCCAGATGTGGTTTCATTACTGAATCAAAGCAACATATCCTTCTGCATCTGGTATGGAGCTGCTGATACAATGAATGCTTTTCTGTCTATATTTGTTAGTAAAGACTGTAGGAAGAGGGGATAGTTCCAGGGCTATCTTAACTCTTCAGTTCTTTGCCATATCTACTACTTGGGACAACTGTAACTTTTCTATCCCATAAGATACAAGTTGGGCCATTATATTATATGGTTGTTATTTTCTTATAGGACACAGTAAGCAGCAAGTGCCAGCTATTCTAGATACTTGCATTGCCAGAGGATGGGAAGTAAATCATACAAAAATTCTGGTGCCTACCATCTTGGTGAAATTTCTGAAAGGCCCAGTGGTTTTAGGTATGCCATGATATTCCCTCCAACATGAAGAATAAGTTGCTGCATCCAGCCCCTCCTATGATCTAGAAAGGTATACAATTCTTACTGGAACTCTTTGGATTTTGGAGGTAAATGTATTTTTCCTTTGGGCATGTAACTCAGACTCATTTCACAGATGGAGAATCAGGATTTTGAAACAAAGTCATGCATGCTTGGAGGATAACTAATTTCCTTTTGAGAACTAATTTCTGGTTTACAGCATTGCTTTGGCAGAGACTTGATATTTGATTATGGATTACCAAGTTACCAGGCACCTCAGTTATAGATAAAAAACTGGATGTCATCTGATCCACCAAGACAAAATAGTATGCATGCAACACTCCATCAACAAATAGAAATGGTATATGTGAGATCAAGTTCAAGCTGGGGAGACCAGAAAAGGGGCAGGGAGCCATAAGTAAGTTGAATGAAGAAGTGGCCCAGATTCTGGTGACACCTACTCTTGCTTCATTATCTTCTTTCTCCCAGTTCAAACCTGTGTTCTCACGGGGAGCATCCTATGAGCAACTGACTGAGAATAAGAAGGCTCCAGCATCGTTTTCAGATGGTTCTGCGTGATAAGCAGGCATTACTTGAAAGTGGGCAGCTACAATACTATATTTCCACATTAGAACAACCTGGAGGGACACTGGTGAAGGGATAACCTCCCAGTGGGAAGAACTTCAAGCAGTGTACTCAGTCTTTGGGGTCTCTATAAGAGGATCCATCTTTGTCTTTTCCTAGCTTTTTGTGGCTGCTGGCAATGCTTGTCATTCCTTGGTTTGTAGCCACATCATTTTAACCTCTGCCTCCATTATCAAATGGCCTTCTCCATTGTGTCTCTGTGTCTGTATTTCCTTCTTATAAGGGCAACAATTATATTGGATATAAGGCCCATCTTAATCTAGTATGACCTCATCTTAACTGGATTCTTTCTGCAAATAACCTATTTATAAATAAAGTCACATTCACAGATTCCTGGTGGACATGAACTTTTGGAAGACACTATTCAGCACAGGGGGTAAAGAGGAGTATGTCTAAAATATTCCATGGGATGCTTAGTACTCCCACATCCCGTGATTAATGTCAATGGAAAAGCACAGTGACCCAATTCAATGAGGACTGCTAAAGATGCAGACCATCCATGAATGAATATTTGCATCACTGCACCAGGCAAGGGAACACCACTAGCTAGAGTGCTTCCTGAGGGCAAAGGGAATATGGCATGAGTATTGGAAAAATCTTTGACCTACATGGTCATGTGCAGAAATGACGGCTCTAGTTGTTACAAATAGAAAAACTTGATTACATATATTTACCAAATACTTTTATTATCTTCTTCTCTCCCATATTCGTACCATCTAACGCTTTTTTTTAAATCTCATGATTTTAGTTACAGGATCTCAAAGCTAGACGAACCAGAAGAATTAACTGATGTTCATTCAAAGACAAAAAGGGACCTCATCTTTTCTTTTGGGAAAAGTGTTAGCATTATTTATTTATTTTTTTGTTGAGGCAGAGTCTCACTCTTTTTCCCATGTTGAAGTGCAGTAGCACAATCATGGCTCACTGTAGCCTTGACCTCCTGGGCTAAAGTGATCCTCCCACCTCAGCCTCCCAAGTAGCTGGGACTACAGGTATTCTTCATCATGCCTGGCTAACTTTTCATATTTTTTTTGTAGAGACAGAGTTTCACCATGTTGCTCAGGCAGGTCTTGACCTTCTGGGCTCGAGTGATCTGCCCTCTTTGTCTTCCCAAACTGGTGGTCAGCATAATTTTATTTTTATTGTATGCAAGATAATTGTATAATGCCAGGGAGAAACGTGACTGTGTTTTGAAATTAAGTGAAGTTTAGAGGTATGTGTGTGGGTTCTAAGCTGACAAGAAGTCACCTGTGGTGGCTTTGGAATGTCTCAACTTAGCTAGTCTGAGCTACATTTCTCAGACTTCTCTTTCCGCTATGTTTCCAGTTAATAGTGGTTAGCAAGACATTTTTGTGCAAAATCTGGAGAACAGCAGTTAATCAGCGGTCATATATTGCTAACTCTAGGAATGTTGAGGTAGTGTCACTGTGTACTTTTGTAGTTCATACATCTATAATCTGCTGTTAAGCTCATTCAGAGATTATTTTACTTCAGATTTTCTTAGCTCTAAAATTTTCATAGCTTCTGTTTCTCTGCTGAGGTTTTGTATTTGTGTACTTTTTATAAACATTTTCATTTACATTTTTGGATATAGTTGAAATAGCTTCTTAAAAACCTCTTTTAAAAATTATTTTATCTGTGTCATCTTTGGATCAGTTCCTACTGATTGCCATATCTTGACTAGGGGTCACATTTTTCTGTATCTTCATAGGGCTAGTGATTTTGGGTTATACTCTGGGTTTATGTAGAAACTCAGAATTTGTTACAGTTATCAGCTGGACACAGGCTCCAAACACTGTCTTTTCTGACTTAGGCATAAGCTAAAATCTCTCTTTAACTCTTTTTTTTTTTTTTTTTTTTTTTTTTTTTTGAGATGGAGTCTTGCTCTTTTGCCCAGACTGGAATGCAGTGGTGCATTCTTGGCTCACTGCAACCTACGCCTCCCGGGTTCAAGCGGTTCTCTTGCCTCATCTTCCCAAGTAGCTGGGATGATAGGCACAGGCCACCATACCCAGCTAATTTTTGTATTTTTATTAGAAACAGGGTTTCATCATGTTGGCCAGGCAGATCTTGAACTCCTGACCTCAGGTGATCTGTCTGCCTCGGCCTCCCAAAGTGCTGGGATTACAGGCATGAGCCACCACGCTTGGCATCTTCAACTCTTTATCCATACTTTTGGCTGCTTGGAGTCTTCACCTGCATGCTCAGTTCAGGAATCAGCCAGAAATTTTGGCAGAGTTTATTTGCAGAATTAGGACTTTACCTTTGGGGCTGTTTCCTTTGTTGAAATTACATCTTTACTTTTCATCTACTCTGTTTGCCCTGAAATCTGCCTTCTGATTGTTTAAGGATATAAGACTAAAGATTGTCTATCTGAAATTTAGTTGTCCTGTGAAGTTTAACTGGGTCCTGCACACAGGAAATAAAAAGGCCATAAAAAGAAAAGATGGACTTAATCTCTTTGCTTTCTTTCAAGTGTAGACTTTATTCAATATTTTTTTTTTCTACTTTTGGATGCTCTCAGACACCTTTAAGGTTTTCTAAAAATGTTTTCTTTAATATTTAAAGTAATCTGTGAGACAGTCCAATAGGAGATTGTCTCCATTACTGGACTCTAGAAATCAAATGCATTTTAAGTGTCTACTTGCATCATTATTTTAAGGCTGAATTGGGCAAAGCAACTCATATGTTCAAGCCTAAAATCAAAGGACAATAAAATATATTTTACTAACCAGCAGATTGTGGCAAGAATCTTAATTTAAAATACAACTATAAGAAGTCAAGAATTGGTCAAGATTAATATTAACTTGTCAGGTAATGGATATTTATAGTGATGATTTTTTTTCCTTAAAAAATGGTCTTAAATATTAATCTAATGACATACATCAACAATTAATTCTACAATGTTTATATTAAAGATATTCAATAATAATGAAGTTTTTACCATAGACCCAAATCTGTGTCAAATACTGAGAATGTAGTGATAAAGCTTATAGTCTACTGAGGGAAATAGACATTAAGCAAAATTTAGGATAACCACCAATGATAAGAGATAATCAATAGTTAAATACAGTTGGATGCTTGCCATAAATCCATATATCCAAATTGTCTTTGGGCTCAGCCCCAGGTTTCAGGAGTAAAGGTGATATTACATGTAAATTAGTGGGTATCTAAGAGGTAAAGCAATCTTTGTATCCTGGATGAAGGCCAAGAAAGATGGAATCTTCAAGGAAGATTTACCTTCGCTCTGTGGCAATATGATAGAAATGACTGCATGGTGTTATTTGACAGATAGGCTAAGATACCGCCTTACAAACACACGTACGCAAACACGACCCAATAATATTGGCAATATTTACAATTTCTTACATTTTTAAGAGGCATATCTTGTCAAGAAGCTGAGAGACATTCCCAGATGTTGAGCCATAGAGACCAAGAGAGAGTTCAGAATATTCTGCATGAAATTATGGTTAACAGTGGCAGGTACAAGGGAACTAGTAATTGCTGAAGAAGGAGCCAGTAAAATGAATTATTCCATCAAGAAGGTGAAGCAGACGTCCTCTACTATCAATACCTGATTTAGGATAAGTATCACACAGGAAAAGAGAATGAAGGGTAGTAGAACTGGGAATTTATTTAAAGATATGGATAAATGACTTTAGTTTATCTGGATATTACTAAACGAAGTTTGGAGATGACTTAATCTATCTAGATGGTACTAGACTAAATTTTCTGAGTGAACCAAAGTGGATCCTCAGAGCTATGTCCAATGCAATTATCAAAATATTACAAAAATTCACATTTGATTTTAAACTTTTAAAAAATATTATGAAAAGATGCTCAGTGGGTGAAAACAGTATGCATGAGGTAAGGGAAGGCTTCTCTGAAGCAGGGACTGATAAGCAAATTCCAATAGTGAGGAGAGTTGGACTGCGCCAAGAGGGAAGGAGGGTGGGTTGGCACAGTCCAGGCGTGGGGGAAAGTGTGTGCAAACGTGTTGATGCTGGAAGTAGCTTTCCTCAGGGGCATTCCCAAAGGGGGCCAAGAGGCTCAAGATGTGTGATTGAGGGACAAGGTACATTAAGAAATTCTTTTGTTTTTGTTTTTCTTGGAAAATAGTCACTGATTATGCACAGGTGGATCACAGATAAAATTGGATTTTAATGTTAAGGAAACAATGCTGGCTGTTCTATGAATAATAAGCTGTGAGTTGGAAGTAGATAGCGAACTGGCTTCTTCAAGGGGAGTGGATTGGAGAGAAGATAAATTGTGGGGGAGACCAACTAGTAGGTTATTTTTGTCGTCTAGGCAGCAGTTGATGGTGTCTGAATATTTCCAGGTTAAAGATTAGAGAAGCCCAAGGCCACAATTTTTTTTTAATGAAGAGCAATTAACTTTGCACTTGTTGGAGAGAACTTCAATGTTTAGGTTTTTTAAACAGCTAGGACTGATGGAGCTCCAGTTTTCTTGCATTCACCCTTAGAACCCTCACACAAAATTGTGACAAAGTCATTTATGCATCTTCAATTCATGACAGCAATATATCAGAAGTTTTAATTTTCTCATTTCCATGATATAAGGGGCTGCTTCTTTGTGAAATTATATATATGACATTAGCGTAGTAATACAGAAAATTTTATATGTATGATCTTTGAAGTTGGGGGTTTGGGGCTGTAATGTTATAATGAAAGAAGTGTTATTATTTTTTAACCAGGAAAGGCTTTTTAAAAAACAATTTGGCATCAGAATTTTGAACTGAATTTGAACTTAGTGGTATATGAATTAGTTTCCCCTTGGTTATATGGGACTACATTTTTTCCCCCAAGGAAAACAAATTGAAAGCCTTTGAAAAAAGCTGCATACCCTATTAACATATCAAATAACCTTACAAAATAATTATTTGATGTTAAGTGTGAAAGTGTCAGAAATATGGAGATTAAATTTCCTCTGGGACATTTCTACATGAATGGAAAAAGTGCTTAGTAGAACACCTTTTGGGTTTTGCCTGTTCCCAGAAGTATTTCAAAAGGAAAACAGAAATTTAACAAATCCAAGAGCAGCTGAATTTTTACATTCTTTACACATATTGTATTACTTAATTTCTTTTCCAGTTCCTTTAGTTTGATCCTTTTAATATATTGGATTTTCTAAATTTTATCTACTGAGTTTTAGTTTCAGATGAATATTTTCAAACGAGACCAACGGTATAACCAGAGGTAACTGGCAACCAACATTCTCCTCTGAAGAATTTCTGAATTTAAGGTATAATGTCCTCTCCCTATTTATAATCATCCCTCCCTCGTTAAATATGACTCTCATTCAGTGAGGTCAGATCTAGCCATGGGCAAAATTGGGATCTAGTCAAAATTTGTTGGCTGTGAGTAAAGTTGGCCTTGGAGAAAATGCACCAGTCCCTTTATCGAAGAATCAGTGCTGTTTCCTGAGTTTCACTATTACTCAATGACTCTTTCTTTTTGGAATTCTGTGTTGGTTTCCCCGATGCACTTTCCTTTTAGAGAAAATAACTGTTCATGAGGACAGAAACTAACAATTACTTAGTGTTCATTTTGTATAATACACTGAGCTAAGCACTTACGTATATTACATTAGTATTTTCTCTGACCCAGTGAGATAAGAATTAATTTCCCTTGTTTATAGATGAGCAAACAACATCAAAGGGTTAGCCATATTGAGAGTATAATGGAAATTAGCTTTAAATTTTGGATCTTTCTTTCACTCTCAAAGTTGTTGCTTGTTATGTTTTTACAGTTTTGTTTTTTTCCTCCTATCACTTCCAGTTGGATTTTCCTTTATTTTTATTTTTTTTATTATACTTTAAGTTCTAGGGTACATGTGCACAACGTGCAGGTTTGTTACATATGTATACATGTGCCATGTTGGTGTGCTGCACCTATTAACTCATTTACATTAGGTATATCTCCTAATGCTATCCCTCGCCGCTCCCCCCACCTCACGACAGGCCCCGGTGTGTGATGTTCCCCTTCCTGTGTCCAAGTGTTCTCATTGTTCAATTCCCACCTATGAGTGAGAATATGCGGTGTTTGGTTTTCTGTCCTTGCAATAATTTGCTGAGAATGATGGTTTCCAGCTTCATCCATGTCCCTACAAAGGACATGAACTCATCCTTTTTATGGCTGCATAGTATTCCATGGTGTATATGTGCCACATTTTCTTAATCCAGTCTATCATTGATGGACATTTGGGTTGGTTCCAAGTTTTTGCTATTGTGAATAGTGCCACAATAAACATACGTGTGCATGTGTAGCAGCATGACTTATAATCCTTTGGGTATATACCCAGTAATGGGATGGCTGGGTCAAATGGTATTTCTAGTTCTAGATCCTTGAGGAATCTCCACACTGTCTTCCACAATGGCTGAACTAGTTTACAGTCCCACCAACAGTGTAAAAGTGTTCCTATTTCTCCACATCCTCTCCAGCACCTGTTGTTTCCTGATTTTTTTAATGATCGCCATTCTAACTGGTGTGAGATGGTATCTCATTGTGGTTTTGATTTGCATTTCTCTGATGGCCAGTGATGATGAGCATTTTTTCATGTGTCTGTTGGCTGCATAAATGTGGTCTTTTTTTTTTTTTTTTTTTTTTTTTTTTTTTTTTTTGAGATGGAGTCTTGCTCTGTTGCCCAAGCTGGAGTGCAGTGGCACTATCTCGGCTCACTGCAAGCTCCGCCTCCCAGGTTCACGCCATTCTCCTGCCTCAGCCTCCCAAGTAGCTGGGACTACAGGCGGCCGCCACCACGCCCGGCTAATTTTGTTTTTGTGTTTTTAGTAGAGCCGGGGTTTCACCATGTTAGCCAGGATGGTCTCCATCTCCTGGCCTCGTGATCTGCCTGCCTCGGCCTCCCAAAGTGCTGGGATTACAGGCATGAGCCACCGCGCCTGGCCCAAAGTTGGATTTTCCTGATTGTCTTCCCTCGGCTTTCTTCTAGCCATGGGTTTTGCCTTTAGAATAGCCTCTGGTCCCACCTTTTCACCTAATACCTCGCCTAGATGACTCATATGCATCCACGACTTTCCATCATATAATCTAAGCTCCTCGCTGAATTCAAATGGAATTTTACAAAAATTTAAGTATGTATATTGTTTTAAAGAATTTAGAGGCCAGGCACGGTGGCTCACACCTGTAATCCCAGCACCTTGGAAGGCCTAGGTAGGCGATTGCTTGAGCCCAGGAGTTCGAGATCAGCCTGGGCAACAAGGCAAAACCCCGTCTCTACCAAAAAAAATACAAAAATTACCCGGGCATGGTGGCATGTTCCTGGGGTCCCAGCTACTTAAGAGGCTGAGGCAGGAGGATCACTAGTGCCAGGAAGGCGCAGGTTACAGTGAACAGAGATTGCACCACTGCACTCCAGCCTGGGTGACAGAGCCACACCCTGTCATGGGGGGAAAAAAAAAAGAATTTTGAGTTTTTCAATCGATACCACCAAGGGGGATTGAAAAGTTGTAATAATAAGACTCTTACAGTAGATTGACTATAGTTAACATTAATGAATTGTTCATTTCAAAATAGCTAGAAGAGAATAACTCAGATATTCCTGGCATAAAGAAAAGATAAATATTTAAGGTGATTTAATCATACGAGGGTATCCAATTAGCACATGTGGCCCCAAAATATGTACATCTAATAAGTATCAATACAAATTTTTAAAAAGTGAAAAAATGGACTTAAACTTGGATTGTGAAAGTTTGGATATTTGGCACAGAATTAATAGCAGGTATAAATTTTGTTAGAATATACCTACTAACATCCTGACTCCACATTCTTACATGGGAGCATTTTATTTTGGAGTTCTAATATAGAAAAATATCCTGAGATGAAAGTGTTCTGAATGTATGCTTTCACATTTACATTTTTTCTCTTATATTACATGTACACGGGCATGCTTATACGCAAAGTATAGTTTGACCTCTTTTATTGAAACAGAGTCCTACAGAGCATCTTTTCTCTGACACATGAAACTCTTTGGCAAGAGTACAACTGGATTTTCTCGGCTTACTGTATCTCCTATGAGGCCAGCAGGAGAGAAAACCAATTCATTTTCCCCAGTTAGCATGCTTCCTTTTCAATATTTCAAATGTGTGGTCCCTTGTAAAATCTTAAACTGAACTCTCATTATATTCTTGAAATGTTCAGTTCCTCTGCTGTACATGATTCTCACATACAAAAAAGTTCAATTATAAAAAAAGTTTCCATTATGAGTTGTAAAAAGAAATCACATTATGATTATAGGAATACTCACGCCTCAACCAGTGATAATAGAAACCATTACACACCATGTGGTTAGCTTCGCACATAACCATTCATGAAGCTAATCTTAAACCTCTGGGTTATTTGGCCAAATTTTTCTAAATGTCTTCAGTGTCATATCACCGTTGCCATTGTTAACTCTATTTATTAATGTAATAGTTTCTTGAATAGAATTTAATAAAACAATAACATTATCCCTCTCAGACATTTTTGAGGCTTTAAATAGGAATGATGGATACATTGAAGACTCAAAATTACTCCACTATTAGTGGTTTAAGTATTTAAATAATTTTTAGGTTTAGACAGCTTAATGCAGGTCAGTTATCTTTTTAAAAATAAAATTTATTTTAAAATCATTTTAAATTTACATAAAAATTAGGAAAATTGGGCAGAGAGTTCTCATATACTCCATATCCAGTTTTCTCTATTATTAATATCTCACTTTAGAATGGCACATTTGTCAAATTAGTGAACCTGTATTTATACATTTTTGTTATATAAAGTCCATACATATTATTGAGACGTTCTTTGTTTTCACCTAATGTCCTTTTCTTTTTCAGGAGCCCATGCAAAATGCTACATTACACCTAGTCCTCACGTTTCCTTAGTAAACTATTTGCTGTGATTTTTCTAGTTTTTCCTTGTTTTTGATGACGAGGGCAGTTTTGAGGAATACTGGTCAGGTGTTCTGTAAAATATCCCTCAACTGGAATTTGGTGCTTTTCTCATGAGTAGACCGGGTGATGGTTTTGGATTTTTGGGAGGAAAAACACAGAGATGAATATCATTCTCATCACACCTTTAAGGGTACAATACTATTAACACAACTTACTGCTGTTGATATCAACCTTGATTGCCTGGCTGTGGTCATTTGTCAAATTTATTTACTGTAAAGTGACTTCTTTTCTCTTTTCCCAGAAAATATTCTTTGGAAGGAAATCAATATGCACAGCAACAGTTTAGGAATGGAATATTAAGCTCTACCTCCTTGAATAGCTACATAAATTGTTTGGAATTCTTCTGCATGGGGGATTTGCCTTCCATTTATTTATTTATTCATGTATTCATATCAGTATGGACATACATGTAAGTATATATATACACTGGCATATAATATATGTTATATATAATATATATTATATATATTATATATAATATATATATTATATATGTAATATATATTATATGAAGTATTATACATATATATTTATATAATATATAAAATACAAATATATATGTTTGTATATATATTTGTATAATTATAAAATATATAAATATATATGTATATATATTTGTATAATTATAAAATACAAATATATGTATATATATTTGTATAATATATAATTATACAAATATATATAAAAATATATATATAAATATATATTTAAAAATATATAAAAATTATATAATATATATTATATAACATATATTATTTAATATATATAATATTATAACATATTATATATAATTATATATTATGTATATTATATATATATATAGAATACTTGGGTTATAATCCACTGCTACTTTATTTAGTTTCTTTTTATCATCTTTTGAGCATTCATCATTGAGACTTCTTTCAGTTGGTTCCAAAAGACATTTGCCATATTTCCATTGTTTGCTTTTTGGTTTTTTTATGTTCTTGTTGCTGCTATTTTTGAGCACTTCCTTACTTCTTTATTTTGGCATCAAAATGTACTCTAGGCTCTTCTTATATATTTCTTGTCTTAGTCCTAGGATCAGCTTTTAGTTTTATTTATTAGAAAATAGTATTAGAAACCAAGAATTGAGTGTTAGCTATGCTCACTGATAACAGGTTTCATTACTTTTAGGCCTTATCAGCTGACAAAGCAAGGAAATGTATGTGTGTGTACATATACACATATCTATCAATATTTCCATAGGTAGCCATCTGTACCTATATTTAGCCAAACATGAGTTCACACTAAAGTTTCCAATTTTAACTCACTACCTCATGCATCATTCTGTCCTTCTTCCCTTGTTTATCTGTGACCTCCCACTCTAACAATGAGGATCCTGGCTTGCATCTACCACTATTGTTTGCTAAACTGTTCAGTTTCAGTGCACGTGTGTTATTGGTTCATTACTATTGCCCAGTTGGGAAATGTTATCAACTAAATTAGGCAGTTCCTTTTGCTTTTAGTCTCAGAGACGCCTTAAACATGATCTAAGAAAGATTTGCCGCATCTTCTTCGGTGAGGTTGTTGCAAACATTTGTAATACAGTTTCAGTGTCACATTCTACATCCCATCTTGGGATTTCCGAACCTCCTAAATTATTATCATCTTAAATTTGCATACATTAAGGTTCATTCTTTGTACTGCATATTTTTATGGGTTTTGACAAATACACAGTATCTTGTATCCATCATTACAGTATCATACAGAACTATTTCACTGCCCTAAGAACTTCCCTGTGCTTCACTTATTAACATCCCATCCTTGCTACCTAGAAGCTCTGGCAGTCACTCATCTGTTTCTTGTCTTTACAGTTTTACCTTTTCAAGAATGTCCTATAAATGAGGCTATATAATATGTAGCTCTTCCAGACTGGCTTTTTCATGTAGCATTTAAGATTCATCTTTGTCTTTGAATAGGTTTATAGCTTAATCCTTTGTGTCCCTGAATAGTATTTCATTTTATGGATGTACTATACTTTGTATATCCTATTGAAGGACATTTAATTGCTTCCTGTTTTTGGTAATTATGAATAAAGTGGCTATAAACATTCATATAGCGATTTCTGTATGCACACAAATTTTCAAATCAGTTGGATAATCTAGGAACATGATTGCTGGATGATACTGTAAGACTGTAAGTAACTTTATAAGAAACTGTTAAACTGTCTTCCAGTGTGGCTGTGTCATTTTGCATTCCCAACAGCAATGAATGAAAGTTCCTGTTGGTTCACATCCTTGCCAGCAATTGGTGTTGTCATATTTTTAGAATTTAGTGGTTCTAATAGTTCTAGTAGGTGTGCAGTGGTAACTCCTTATTTTAATTTTCATTTCTCTAATGACAAATGAGGTGGAGCATATTTTAATGTGCTTATTTGTCATGTATATATCTTCTTTGGACACGTGTCTGCTCAATCTTTCACTTTTAAGTTGGATTGCTTTTCATCCTGTTGAATTTTAATATTTAAAGTTTTAAGCTAAAAAGACAATGTGTTCTTGCAGATTGTTTTCTGAGAGAATGTCATATTTCTTAACCATCTTGATACATTTTCTATATCATTTAATTCATATTTTCTTACACTATAGTTTTGTGATAGAAACCCTATTTTTAACTGGTCAAAACTGAAAAAATTAAGCCTCTCTTGGAGCTGGGTGAGGGTCTTGTTAATGCCCAATAGGAGGTAACTGGGAGTGTTGTGTGACTCCTAGAAAGCACCACCTATTTCCTTCATCCTTCCCATTGTTTGGAGTGTGGAAATGTTTGCTGTAACCTTAGCAGTCATCTTGGCTCTTGAGATAGCTTGCTAAGAAGGGTGTAGCAGCAAGATAAGACAGCCCAGCTCCCGAGTGGATTCAGAGCCTTGCTGCACAACTGCCTGCCTACAGATGTTTGCATAAGCCAGCAATGCGTTTTTACATTGTTTACATTACTATTATTTTAGATCTCTGTTACTTGCAGCAAACATAATCTTAACTGAACAGGGTTTTCCCTTGGACCTACAGACTTGATTAGTTGAACCTTCTACAGGTCCTGTTAGCAGATACTAGGAGATACTTTCCCTATTGTGCAGTGTTTTGTGTTTTATTGTAATTTCTTATTTTATTATTTTTCTCTCTCATTAGGCCACAAGTTCCATGAAAAAAGGAATCCTGCTTGTCATCTGAGAGTAAAACTCTCAGATCTGGCGAATGTTAAACATTTTCTGAATTTTATCAGATGAATCAGTGACTCACTAAGCGATTGCCATGCAATTAAAAATTTTATGTAAACATCTAAAATTGTTTTGGCTTATGTTCTCTTTCCCCAATTATTTAACTGTCTCAAGGGCAGAGACTATAATTTATAGCACAAAAGTTAATATATGTTGTATATATGTAATACATGCATGTATTACATATAAAATATATACATATATAATGTATACATATATTTTATACATATATAAAATTTAGAAAACATTTTATAATAGCATCATGAAACTAAACCAAATCAATTTAAATTTATAAAAGTTGGGTAAAATGTAGTTCTCATTGGGAAAGCTTAAGTAAAAATAAATTAAACATCTTTACAAAATCTTTATAGTCATTGGAAATACAAGAAAAATAGAACTAGAAACTTTGCCCTCAGAGAGATCAACATTTGATAGAAGAATTTAGCAAAATTAGTGTGGTCCCAGACTTGAACTGTCTGTGTTTCAGGTAGAGAGGAGGGGAAATGGCATATCTGGGAAATGCCTGGGTGATTATAAACAGTTTTCAGCACACCAAAGCCAGGTGGCGAATAGGCTTTCAGTGAAATGGAGAAAACAGTAAAGAGGCAAATCTTGCAGGGGGTGGGGTGGGGGCAGTGGCTAATACCTGATGCCTGTAGTCCTAACACTTTGGGAGGCCAGCAGAGGCGGGGTGCGGAGGGCGGGACTGGCTTGCTTGAGTTCAGGCGTTTGAGAACAGCCTGGCCAACATGGCGAAATGCGTCTCTACCAAAAAATACAAAAAATTAGCCAGGCCTAGTGGTGCATGCCTGAGGACCCAGCTACTTGGGAGGCTGAGGTGGGAGGATTGCTTGAGCCCAGGAGGTCAAGACTGCAGTGAGCCGAGATTACGCCATTGCACTCCAGCCTGGGTGACAGAGCAAGACCCTGTCTCAAAACAAAAAGGCAAGTCTTGGGGAAGTTTGGTTGTTTATCCTTAGTTTGTCACCTCTGCTAATACAATACAGTTGTTTCAGATAGCTCATTTATAACTTATTACTATGTTCTGTTTATTAGGAGAGATTGTCAATTCATAAAATTTATATTCTTCTGATAACAAACTTTGAAAATGAGTCATAGTATTGAGGACTGTATTTGTATATTTTTGCTGTATTTCATACCCTGCAGATGCATTAAAATATACTCCTATTATGTGCACAGCTTGCTTCTCTCTTAACACTTACCTATAACAAGATACTAAATACACAGTGAACCTAAATAATCTGTCAAAATGTAGTCTCAAGGATCTTAAAATAATTGAATGTCAATGAATTTACCTTCTTTCTTGAACCTGGATCCTCAGGCATATTCTGGTTTCCTAAGTTGCTGTGTTTTTAAAATACTTTTTCCACATGAAGAAGGGGAATGCTGTTAGCACTACCACTATCTCTTTCCCCAAAATGGCCTGAATGATTACTGTTGGGCAGATAACGTTCTATTAATAAGTGGTATGAATAGGTATTAACACATCACATCAATAACAGTCCTGGGATTAGGAACTTTTATTACCCCCATTTTAGAGAGGGGAAAGCTGAGACAGAGAAAAGCTAAGTCACTTGGTTATGAGTTATATTAAGCTAATAATAGTGAGAATGGGAATTATAATCAAGGCATTCTGATCACAAGGGTGTATACTTTTAACCACTATACTACTCTGCCTTTCTGGAATCTTTAGAAATGTATGCTGTAACTGTACTCAACTATCTATCCAGAGTTCCTCGTTTTTCTGAGATGGTTTTTGGAGACTGATGTTTGTTCATAGATCATTGGAAAATTTCCTGAGAAAACTCCTGTTTCATCAACCTGTCCTACATAGTTGTTTCCAAGACTCCTGAAGATGGAGCTTCTGCTAAGTTTTCATTTTGTATTTCAAGATGTTATAGGAAGTAAATTTCACTATGAAACTGGAGTTCCAAATTTTGACTCAAGAGGCTAGATGAAATTGCTGTTCATATTTACAGTGGTAATGATTTTAGTAATCACAATGAACATATGCACTCAGTCATTTAATCAGCAAATATTTATTGAGCACTGCCTTTTTCCTAGCCACTCTATTAACTGCTGGAAATATAAAGAGTCTTCTCCCTTAAGGCATCTACAGTGAAGGAGACTTACAAAAAGATAATTGCAATACATTATGTCTACATGTTTTTATGGAGATATGTGTAAAGCATGAAGGCACAGATGTAAGACAGCAACATCTCATTACAGACTGGAATATACTAGCATAAGTCAGGAGAGGTAAGGGCTAAGATGAATCCTAAGGATGAATTGATCATTAGATATTAGAGAAATAAAAAATAGATGCACAATTAGGAGTATCTTTTATCTTAGAAATGAATTGTTCAATAGGAATGGGAGAAGGCAACAGGAAAAGAATTACAAGTAAATGAGTGATCAGGATAGAACGTATGGAAGAGAGAGTCTGTAAGAATATGTGGTGAATTACAAGAGGTTTACAGTGGTAATGACTTTAGTAATCACGGCGAACACAGGCACTCAGTCATTTAACACCATGAACACATGCACTCATGCATTTTTTATTGTTATATGAAAATTTTAAGGCAAGAAATGGTAAGGGTTTAGAATTCAGAAGATTAGGCAGAACACTGATTCTGAAAGCTCTTAGATGCCATGCCCTAGAAGAGAGTATAACTGAGTCCAGGTGATGGATAGAAAGGGATAGGAAGAAGATTAGATTTTCTAGATGCTGTTCCAAATTACGTTAGTCCAAGAATCTATTATATTCACCATTTGCCTCTGGCAAGTAAATGGTGAGGTGGAAACACATTTCTGCAGACTTTGTGAAACCACGAATCTCTTATATTCAAACATAGTACATACGCACGAAAAGTCAAGATTCCTGTACAGCCTTCCCAGAAATGAGATGTGGAAGCTTGTATAGTCAAAAGGTGCTGAGAATACATTGTGGTCAAGTGTTTGCTTCTAGTGCTTCAAAGAATCTGGCAATCTGAGATATCTATGATATTTCAGTCCCAAAAGCACGAGCACGCTCAAGGGTTGTCTGTTGAAGACTTAAGCAATGGTAAGTATTTTCTGAATTTGAAAGTAAATTTGATTTATTCTACTCTGGAATGGTAGAAAATAAGGTATCCAGGAAGTATCCATGAAATTTCTGGATATTCTCAAGTGGCATGTGTCATCCATGTGGCTCTTTGCATACTCTATGAAATAGATAAGAAGGCACAACAATTCATTTTCATCCTCTTCATTGTCCCTCTAGTTAGTTTCAACTCTACTCTGGGTCCAAGTTCCTTTATGCCTATATAATCCCAATACATTCAAGTTTCCAAAAATTCAGGTTTCCTTTTTTATACCCATTGTTTATTTCATGTCATTCTCTGAAATCTAACACTCAGGATATTTTTTTCCCTGCTTTTTAAGTCCTATGGTTGCCTAGCAATTAAGATCTTCCCCTATATGGCTTTGCTGGTTCTGTTAAATCTTATTCTTTATTTCATCTCAACTTTCACTATCAGATTTAGTTAAATGTCCTTTTCTGTCCGAGCACTCCTGCTATTTTACTTACATGGAAGCTTCTCACATCTCTGTCCCCAAAGTTGTCCCTCTGAAAGTCTGGTCTGTTTTGTAAGGTTCGGTTTAAGATCAATCTCTTTTATGGGGCCTTTATTTACTATTCCAGGTGTTGGAAAGTAAAATAATGAGCAGTAACATTGTTGACAAAATATGTGATTGCATTCATGCCCAAATTGTATTTTAGAAATAGGTAGACTTATTTTTAAAAATCTGAAGAGGAAATGTGCAGACACACACCCTCCCACACCCCATAAAAGTGAAGGAATATTAGAAATGCAAATTTACACCAACCAATAAATGGAAAGTAAATGTCAGATGTTTTACAGGTCTGACTGTATTATAGTTTACCTGCACTTGGAAGGAAATCAATTAGTATTTGGATAATCATCAGATAATGACTATAGATATGCAAATATAGTAGATTTGGCTATCAAACCTCTTTTAAAAAAAATAATTAAAAACCTGGTATATGAAACACTGGACATGCCCCAAGATCAATTCTGAGTGGAACTTGGCTGGAGGCAGGAAGGGTACAAAAGATAAAAATATAAGGAATCTCAAAGTATATCAAAGTATGTGTGATATATGTATGTATACACACACACCCCCACCCCAAGCATGTGTATTTGAGAACTTCTGAAGACCTGCAGCCCTATCGCTTTTTCCATTGTGCTTTGACAGGTCTATATGGTGAATACAGCATGTAGTTGTATGTCTACATGGTCTCACATTGTCTCATCTATTCCCCAGACATTGCTGCAATCAGGAAACACCACACTGGGAAAAGATGAAAGCTCGTCCTTCTTGGACCTTGTGAATTGGCCTGGGAATGGAGAAATCAAGGTGGCCTGTGGCTTAGAGTGGTCTCCTTACCCTCATCAGGCTTGCTCATAGTGGGATATAGAACAGGAAGTCAACACCAGACCTCACTAATCTGGCTTGCCTCTGATCTCCCATAGTAATAACGTGCTGTTGCTGTCATATTAATCAGCAGCTAATTATGTTCTCTCTTTAATGATTTTTTTTTTCACTCTTTCAACTGTATTGGAGATCCTTGAGGGCAGAGACTCTTCTGTATAACTATTGCTATTCTCCCAGTGTTTAACACAATGCTGAACACAGAAAAAGTGTGCCATATGTTAACTGATCCCATTTTGTACATAAAGACATGAGAAGTCCACTGTATTTAAAAACTTATTTCACTAAGGCATAATTTTAATAGTGCCATCATCAGTAATTCAGTTTTTATTTGAGGCTGTTGACTTTTCACTACATACAAATAATATTAATTGTGCACTTAATATGTGTAAAGTCTTTTCACATATGCTATTTAAGTTAATTATCACAACCAGAGCCAGATTAAGAAGCAGACCATCTGTGCCATTGCCCAGGGTCCCATTCTGACAGGCAGTGAGAATCTACAGGCTTTTAAATATCACTGGAAGATAGAGATAGTATTTATCCGAAGTCTTCCAAGATCTTGTTACTCCACGTGTGGTTTAAGGACCAGCGGGCACAGGCATCCCCTGCGAGTGTGTCAGAAATGCAGAATCCCAGGTCCTGCCCAGCCCACCTGAACCAGAATTGCATTTTAACAACATACCAGGGACCAGATAGAAGTTTGAAAATCAGCCTCAGGGATCGTAGTTGAAGATACACCACAAGAGGCATGCTCAAATAGGTGCTCACTAAACGTATTCTAGGACCAGTGGGTCCAGTAGATATCAGGGCTTTCCTTTTCTAAGTTCAATATGCAAATTGAGGGGCAGAGAGAAATTGCTGCTTATGTAGCAGAGCCTGAGAATTGCTAGTAAGATTCCCACTTGACTTTCAATGCAGAGCATGCACAGGCAGTATTATAAGTACAATTCAAGAAAACATTTTAAAAATGTGGATGTTAAAGGGCACCTTTGCTCACCAATGTGGAGTCCCTTAAACTTACCCAGTGGGCCTGGAGCCCTTTTGCTTACTGCCTCCCTTCATGGGATGTACTTTCTCCAGGTCTTTGCTTGGCTGGCCTCTGTTTTGTCATTTAGGTTGCCTCTTTGGAGAGATTTACCCTGAACATCTTTATTAAAGTAGGCATGTAGTCTCTTTACTCTCCTAATAGCGTGTATCACTCTCTAAACTTATCTGACTTATTTGTCTTCCCTCTCCAAATTGTTTGCTCCAGGAGGGGAGGAAGTTTTTCTTGCCCCCAGAACCCTGGTACATGGCAGATGCTGAATAAATGGTTGCTGAATGAATGAGTCAAGAGATAGTGGTATCAAAACAGTTACTAAGATGAATATACTAACAAATACTATATTAATACATAATGAGCTATCTAATGATCACCTACATCTTGAAGTTTGGGCTAATTTTGCATTATATTTTAGGTTTCCATTTGAGAGGCAGGATGGTTTGTTATAAATATAGGGCATAGATTAAGAGGGTTAGAACCCTTTTTCATTTTTTTCGGCAACTATCCATTGAGTGCCTTCAATATGACAGGCACTGCTCTAAGCAACTAGTCCTGCCACACATTCGTGCATGACTTTGTTCACGTTACTAAGCCTATTTAAACTTCAGTTTTCTCATGTATAAAATGACACTAATAATAGTACATGCACCCACTTTATAGGCTTGTTGAGAGTGTAAATTGGGGTAATGCATTGAAAATGATTATTGCAGACTCTGACTTATCCTAAGCACTCAATATATCAATATTAGTTTCAGCAAATTTAGACAGCTGGTGCTTAGGAGGATGAAGAATCTTTCTAATAGAAATAATGTTCACATTGTGATAATAGTGATAATAGATGGTATTCATAAGTAATTTAAAATATTTTTCAAATTACTCTCATCGCATTCTCTTCTCTTATTGCAATGTTTTTCCTTCATTTTATCTTCACAGAGAAAATAAATGTGTGTTTACCAAATTCATTTTACTTCTTTTCATCTTCTCCTGTTGCAGGCCAGTGTTATATTACAGTATGTGAAAAAGGGGATTTTCTATTGTTTAATTTTGCTTTTTGTTGCCATTTTCATTGAATATAACAGATATAGTATAAACAAATATTTGATGTACAGCTTGATTAAATTTTGCATGTGTATACATAACAAACATCTAGATTAGAGTGTAGAACGAGACCAGGGTCCCAGAAATCATCCCCATTCTAGTACCCAATTAATACCACCCTCTCCCATATGTCATTTCTAATCTGACTTTTTTGTGGATTAGTTTTGCCTGCTTTTTAAGTTTATGTAAGTGGACTCATTTATATTCTTTTCTGTTTAGCTTCTTGTGCTCAATATTGAGTCTGTGAGAGGTATCCAGGTTGTTGTCCTTAGTTGTATATTTCTCATTTTGATTGACATGTAATATTTCGTTGTATAAGTGCATCTGACTTGAGCTATTCAAGGATTCTGATGAGTATATGCAGTGGTATCACATTGTGGTTTTAATTTTTATTTTCTCAACACTTACGATGGGAACGATATTTTCTTACATTTATTGGCCAATCTTATATCCTCTTGAATGAAGTGCCTATTCAAATCCTTTGCTTACTTTAAAAAAAATTGATTTGCCTGCCTTTTAAAATTGGCTTGGAAGTTTTTTATACATTGGGTATAAATGTTAGTTAAGTAAATGTGTTGAAAATACCTTCCTCCATTCCATGCCTTGGATTGTCACTCATTAATGGTATCTTGTGATGAACAGAAGTCTTCATTTTAATGTAATCCAATCATCAGTCCTTTTATTTATGATTAGCACTTTGTAGGTCTGTTTCAGAAATCTTTGCCTATTCCCCAAAACATGGCTGCTTTTTTGTGATTTATTCTATAAACTTTGTCAGTTTTATCTTTTACATCTCATCTCTTTTAAAGGAGCTATATATATCTCATTCATATATATGTATATATGTATATATTATATGTATTATATATGTATATATGTATATAATATATATATGTTATTTGCTGGTATCAAATTCTCATTTGGCAAAATTTTATTACAGCACTTTAAAGATGCTATTTCACTGTCTTCTGGCTTTCACGGTTTTATGTGAGAAAGCTCTTCGGTGTCTGATAATTACTCCTTTGAAGGAAATGTTTCCTTTATTTCTGATTGTGTTCTAAATTTTTTTTCTTTCTTTTGTTTTCCTTTGGCCCGAGTATAAAGTGCCTGGGTGTGGTTCCCTTCATATCTTTCCTGCTTAGGGTTTATAAAGATTTTGAAGAAGTGATGTGATGCTTTTAGGTTTTTTTTTGAAATTTTGTCAACTAGTGTTTTTTCAAATATTTCTCCCGTTTACCTCTTCAATTTAACATACATGTTTTTCCTGTGTTGCTCATGTCTTCTATAATGACATCTATGCTTTCTAATATATATCTATATCTATATTTATAGTCTATCATCCATCTCTCTATTTCTCTAGCTATCTATCATCTATCTCTCTTCCTATCTACTTATCTATCTGTCTTAAATTTTCTGGTTTTAATTGGATATTTTATGACTCTTGTGGCAGACATATCCTAGGGTCACCCTCCAATAAGTCACTCTAACTTGTCATCCCTGCCCTTGACTGTGGGTAGAACCTGTGATTGCTCCTAGCCAATCAAATATGGCAAAGGTGATAGAAAGTTACTCCTTGGATTAGATTTTGTTATGTAGGACTGTCTTAGCAGAACTGAGTGAGAGAGTCTCTTTGTCGGTTTTGAAAAAGATGGCCTCTAGGAGCTGAGAGTGCTGCTGAATGACAGCCAGCAAGAAAACAGGAACTTCAGCCCACATTTGCAAGGATATGAATTCTGCCAACAGCCCAGAGGGAGTTGAGAGGCAGACCTTTCCCCAGTCAAGCCTTGGATAATACCACAACCTGCCAGCTGTCACCTGGCTTGCAGCCTTGGTGAGCCTTGAGCAGACTCAACTAAACTATGTCCAAATTCTGCACCTATGGAGACTGAGAGATTAAAAATGTGTGTTGTTTTGACTCTAAAGTTTGTGGCAATTTGTAATAATTACCACAATAATAATTTCTGTAAACTTGCATTAATAGAAAACTAATACAACTCTCTTCCGGTTCACATATAGCATATATATATATAGCATAATCCCTATGTTCTTGTATGTTTTTCTGCTAAACAGTATTAAATTCATGTCTAATGTTAATTTTATTTGTCATATTCCAGCTCTAAGACTCTTAATATATTTATATAATTAGTAAATTTTTTTTTTATAAATTATCTGAACAAACAAATTATAGCTGTTTCAAAGCCCTTGTCTGCAATCTCCAGTATTTCAACCACAGATACTTTTGTTTCCATTGTCTTTTACTTTGGTTTTGGATCATTTTTTTTTTGTTTCTTGGCGTAACTATTACTTTTCTAGTCAATGTCAAATGTTCAGCAAAATTATAGCCAGAATTCTTCTTCTAGCCATGATGGAGTAATTGGAAATTTGGACTGAATATATGACATAAATATTTCCTGACATTGGAAACCAGGCAAGACAAGACTGTGATCTTTGATAAAAGAAAAGTAAATGAGATAAACCCTTGGGCCATGCTTGCTGCCTGCCTGGAGGCATTATTCCATATTATAGTGCAGAAAAGAAAGCCAAGCAGGACATGGTGGCCTGGCTTCGGTGAGACAGAGACTGGGTTTTGGAGATGATGAAACAGTCAAAATCTGCAGAGCAGAGTACTATACAGAAGAAAGCTATGAAAATAAATTATTTCAAGGTCTTGCATAGGTGTCCCCTTGAAACTTTGGCTATAGGTAAAAGAAGAATTGGGCAATGAGAGAATATTTAGAACTGAATAAAAATTAAATAACAATATACAATTTGTAGTATAAATCTAAAGCATTGTTTAAAGGGAAATTTATATTTTTATATTAGAGAACAAAAGCTCTAAAAATCAATGATCTAAGCTTTCTCCTTGAGAGGACAGAAATAGAAAAAAAAATTAAATCCAAAGTTAATAAGGAAAGGAAAGGCTAAAAAGCAAAAATCATTGAAATAGCAAATGTTTGAAAAACAGGTAAGAATAAATTAAACTCCAAACTGATTATTTGAAACGTTCAGTGAAATTGATAACCTTTGAGATACATGAATCAATTCAAAATAAAAGATAGTAATTACTAGTATCAGGAATAAAAGTAGGGTCACTGTATGAAGACATTGAGTGAAGTTATTGTATGAGTACAGTGTTACCATGATTCAAAACTAAATAAAACCATCACATGAAAATTGTATACCAATATCTCTTATGAACACAGACACAAAATTCCTCAAGTGTACATTGGCAAATTGAATACGAATTGAATACATAAAGAAGGCAATGCATTATGACCAAATTGTGTTTATTCTTGGAATGAAAAGTTTGTTCAACATTTAAAAAATAATCAATGTAATTCACTATATTAAAACAGGAATAAGAAAATAAAATGTTATTAAAGTCATATAAAGTATTTTACAAAATTTACACTGATTTATAATATTTTCAGAATTTATAAATGGGTACTTAATTTGATAAAATACATCTTTGAAAAACATGGAGCTAACATGTTTAATTGTGAGAAACTTAAAACTTTCTCCTTGAAATGGATAACAAAATAAAGATATATGCTCTCGTCATTTTCATTAAAGTTTGTTCTGGAAGCCATTGTAAAAATTCAAGAAAAGTACAATGTATATAGATTGTAAAGGAAGAAGTAAAATTCTCTAAATTTACAGATGTTATAATTATATATATATTAAATTCTAAAAAATGTACAAAAACTTTTGGACTAATTGAATATTTCAAGGCCTCTGGCTATAAGAGCAGTAATAAAAAATAAACTATTAACAGTTAAATTGGAAAATTCAAATATAAAATATTTATATTTACAACATCATCTAGAATACATGGAATACTTAGGGATACATTTAAGAATATGTGTTTAGGAACTCTTTACTGAAATATACTAAACAATGCTGAGAGAAATTAAAACCCTAAATAAATAGAGGATATATCACGATCATGAATTGGGAGATTCAATAATAGTAAGACATAAATTCTCAGTTTAATCTACAGGCTCTACACAATCCAAGTCCAAATTTTAGTACTTTAAAAAATATATAATTGACAAGCTGATTCTAAAATTAATCACGGAAAGGACCTGAAAGAGCCAAAACAATTTTGAAAAAAAGAAAAAAAGGAAGTTGAAGAACATATGCTGCTTTTAAGATTTAAAATAAGGAATACAAACTGATTAAGACAGGTTAGTACTGGTATACGGTGTAGATACATGGATCATTGGAACAGAATGGAGAATCTAGACATTGATTCACACATCAGCAGTGAATTGATTTTCAATACAGACGCTAAGTAACGAAATGCAAGAACAATAGTGTTCAACAATCATGCTGGGACAAATGAATAGCCACATTAAAAAAACTTCAATCCTCCACTCCCATCATACATAAACATGAATATGAAATAGGTTATGAACCTTAACTAAAAGCTAAAATCTAAAACTTTTTGAAGAAAGCATAGGAGAAAATTTCTGATTATGTTACAGGCAAAATTTTTTTAGAAACCTTAAATACTAGCCATAAAAGAAAACAATTGATAAATTGAACCAATTAAAATTATAAACTTCTGCTCTTTGAAAGACAAAATTATGTAAATAATAAAGTAAGCAACAGACTGGGAGAAAATATCCCCAGTACATACATCTGACAAGGAACCCTTATAACTCAATAGGAAGCAAAATAATTCAATTAAAAAAAATGGGAAAGAAGCTCTTTAGGAAAGAAGCTAGGCTGGGCATGGTGGCTCACACCTATAATGCCAGCACTTTGGGAGGTCAAGGCAGGTGGATCATCTGAGGTCAGGAGTTCAAGACCAGCCTGGCCAACATGGTGAAACCCCATCTCTACTAAAAATACGAAAATTAGCTGGGCATGATGGCAGGCACCTGTAGTCCTAGCTACTCAGGAGGCTGAGGCAGGAGAATCTCTTGAACCTGGTAGGCAGAGGTTGCAGTGTGCTGATATCGTGCCATTGCAATCCAGCCTGGGTGACAAGAGTGAAACTCCGTCTCAAACAAACAAACAAAAAGGAACCATGGGTAAGAAACAAGAGTTCCAAGTCTTATTTCAATAAAGATTAAAATGTGAGAATCTAAAAACAAAAAAGACCAGGCACGGTGGCTCACACCTGTGATCCCAGCAATTTGGGAGGCCAAGGCAGGCAGATCCCCTGAGGTCAGGAGTTCTAGACCAGCCTGGCCAACATGATGAAACCCCATCTCTACTAAGAATACAAAAATTACCTGGGCGTGGTGGTGCACACCTGTAGTCCCAGCTACATGGGAGGCAGAGATAAGAGAATCGCTTGAACTCCAGAGGCAGAGGTTGCAGTGAGCTGACATTATGCCATTGCATTGCAGCCTGGGTGACAAGAGTGAGATTCCATCTCAAAAAAAGTAAAATAAAAAAATAAAAGCTATGAAATTCTCAATATCATTAGTCATTAAGGAAATGCAAAGGGAGATCACAAAGAAATATCAATATACAATCGCTGAAATGGCTAAAAATAAAAAATAAAGATTGAAAACCACATTTTGGCAAGGATGTGGAGCAGCTGGATCCATCATCTGTTGCTATTTGAGAGTACAAACTACTTTGGAAAATGTTTTTTATGGAGTTAAACGTACTCTTACCAGGTGATAGCAATAGCACTCCCAGGCCAAGAGAAATTAAACACACACACAAGACTTGTATATGCATGTCCATGGCTGCTTTACTTATAATAGCTTCAAACTAGAAACAATCAAAATGTCCAAAAACAATTGTATGGAAAATCAAATTGTTGTGAGATATTCAGATAACGCATACTACTCAATGATTAAAAAGGACCACCGCAACAAAAATAAGTCACAAGCACATATCACATTATTTTATACATATGTGAAATTCTAGAACAGGTCAAACTAATTTGAAGTGGCAGATTAGTTGCTCTTTGAAAGACAACATTAAGAAAGTGAAAAAGTAATGCCTTCGGTGTTTGGAAGGCGGGGAAGAGGGGTATGAAATTTTCAGCAAAGCATTGTAAAGGAGCTTTATGGAGTGATGAAAATATTCTATTTTCTGAATGCTGTGATGTTTATATGGGTGGATCCATTCATAAAAGCTCATCAAATGGTAAAATTTGCATTGTGTTTTATTGTTATATAAATTAGACTTCAATCATCTTGTGTAAATTTTAATCACTGAATGACCAATGTTTATATATACATCTATCTATCTATCTCTATCTATCTATCTATCTATCTATCTATCTATCTATCTATCTATCTATCTATCTATTTTAAACCTTTATAGTGACTGTGGATGATGTTATCTTTCTAAGGAGTGTTTGAATATTCTTTTCACTGGCTCTCTTAGTACTCTTCTGCTAGTGGAAGCTCACCTTAATCCAAACAAGGCCAGGCTCCAGGATCTGTCTTGGCTGGCTTTTCTCCAGTCTGCCCTTACTTCTAAAACATAGTACCTAAGCCACATTGTAGCCCTTTTGGGAGGGTCTCAAACCCCCAAGTTTTTACCCATGACCTTGGCTGCCCCAGAATTCCAAACTTTACTTCCACAGTTCTGCGAGTCTGCAAGGCTGTAAATGTTGCTGGTCAGCAACTCTCTCTCTCCCTGTGATGCTTTCCCCAGGGTTCTGTAAGCCTCTCTCATGGATGCACGACTTGAGAATCTAAAAATGCTTTGAGGTGAGGTTGTAAGCAGAATTTTCTCCTCCCCTTTCTATAGTTCATTCCTTTCCAAGATCATGTTCCTTTAAGTTTTGACGTTTTGGATTGCTTTCAGTCACTTTTAAACAAACATTGCTGGAGTGCTTACTTTGTTTCTGGTACTGTGGCAGGTCCTGTAGGATTAAACACAATTTTATCTTCTGCTTACATCTTTGGGGGTAAAGATAGTAAAGAAGCAAAGAGAGATAATATAAACTTAAGAAACAATTTAGGAAAGGGTTCACTATAAAATGCTTAATTTAACATTACCAATGAGATAGAAGGGGAAAAATGAATGCTGGCTGGAATTATAAAAGATTAGACTTCTTGGAGGTGTTACTAGCTGGACTGACTCTTGACTGCAGAATGAAGCTCTGTGACTGGGATTAAGTATGAAGCAGTAAGGGAATCTGAGAAGACAGACAAACTTCCAGCAGAGAGCCAGCTTGAGACGGGAATTATTGATCAAATCAGGATGGTCATGGAGTAGGAAGAAAAAGTACTTTCAGCTACTTTATCCGTGAGACACAAACTACTTAGATATCTTGCCATAGGTCCCATATTTAGTGGCAGATTTAGGACTGAAGGAAAGTTTTCTCATTCTGCTCTAGTGTTCCTTCCTCACAGACACTTTTTTCTGGTGTCTGGGAAGAGTCAGACAAGATTTATGACATCTTGTACCTGAAAATTTGAAAAGAAATATTACCTGTGTTCCAAATCAATCAATTCATCTGGAAACTGTACAAAGAACAGTTGATGAGTCAGTATTTTTCAGGTTTGATGTGGAACATAGATGAGCATGGCCTGTTTCTGAGAGCCTTGACAACTAAGAATGACTTACTCAGGATGGAGTCGTGCAAAGCTGGGAGGTACATCACCACTCAAATCCTATTAAAATAACTTGATCACCAAACACACATGTGTTCCAACTGCACGTAACACCTGCCTTCTGAGTCTCTGGAATTATCTGTGGCAAAACTCTCCAGAGCTCCTGTAGAATAAGTTTGGTGCCTTTTTTATTCATTTTTGCATTTCCGAAGTCTAGAAAATTTCTTGATAGTTGGTTTTGAATAAATGTTTGATGAATTACATTTATTTTTGTCTATTGGGTTATGAAAGAAACGTACACAAAATTAATGATACATTTGCCATTTTCATATATTGCTGTTAGTCATGTAAATTGGTTCAATACTTTTGGAAAGATATTTGGCAATGGCTATAACAGCTATAACACTTCATATGCTCCTTTAACTTATGAAAATCCAACTCTTAGGTATCTATCCCAAGGAAATACTAATAAAAGAAGAAAAGACTACCATTTATGAAACTCTTCACCAAAGCTGTTGAAAATTTAAAAAGTTGTAATGAACAGAAGTAGCTGTAATGCATAACAATCGGGAAAATATGCTACTTTTAATAATATGGATACATTAAAAACATAACCATGAATACTATGTAGAACATGGACAACATATACTATATATTAAATAAAAAATTGTTTGGGATGAAGGGTTTATAACTTCAGGTGGATGCTGAGCAGGTAATTCGGCAGAATAAGCTTTATAAAAAGCCAAAGTAGATGGTGTGGTTTGGAGGGTGAACTCCAGCTTTGCAACTTGGAGTTCAGTGATCAGAGGCATATTTCAATGTCTTTTTAGGCAAGATACACAACATACCTTTCCAAACCCATAATGTGTTTGAGAAAGATTAAAAACTGAAGGTGAGTAAATCTTGAAACTGAAACACGATGCAAATCTTGAAGCATGAAGCAAATGTTAATCATTATTGCCACTGGTCTTCATGCTAGTAATGATGATGCCATAGAATCCTGAAGGTCCTTAGTATTGAAGAATCTGCTATCAACAAGTATACAAGCATAGGAGGGCACAGATGTTAAATGTTCTTGGACAGGTACTACTAATGTTACCTGGAAGTGGTGGAAATAAGACCCAGGCTGTGAATGTTCTATTTGAGGAAGAGGGGGTACTGATGCCATGTGGCTATGATCATCTTCCTATGTCTCAAAGACTTTGCCCTAAACGTGTGAGTACTACCCTTCAGACGCAAGTCTCCAGTGTTAGTATTTGCTAATCTTTCACTTTCTCTCCTAGGAAATTATGTTCCAAGTTCCCAGTCTGAAAATAATTACATTTATACCACTTGCTACTACACAGTGATTTCATTTTTCTTTCCCTACATTATTTGTGCCTTTGGGTGATAAACTCATTGGAACAAGAGCTCTTCCATGTTTTGGCAGCGTTTGTCCTACTTTTTATGCACTGGTTATAGAATTCTAGCAAAATGAAATGCTAGAAACAGAAGTGTAGGATAGAAATAACTCAAAACCTCACAGGAGAACATGAACTTGGTAATGTATGTTGAAGGATATAAAATTAGATTGTAGCTAAGGAGTGCTAAACTGAATTTCTTGTTTTACCTTTGACTTTCTGCACAACCTTTGAAAAAAATTACCTGTATTCTATGCTATACTGCCACACTGGTTCAGACTTCTAGTTATTTAACTTGGGATTCCTGATTGAATAGCTGTGAGGGGGCATGGCTGTCTTCTCACTGATTAACTGTGAAGATTCACTAGGATTCAGCTACAAATAGCATTCAGTTTTATGATTCCTTTATTAGTAATTTGCTCTTACCTTGTCTTAATGCAGACATGTGGCTTGCCTATTCCGTTTCTTGGGATAATATGTTCCCAGATTTGTTTATTATGATATTTTCTTTGACCCTTCCTAAATATCCAGGTTCTAAGAGTACCCTTTCAGTCATTTAGACATTCAGGCCAATAACTATTCAATAGACCCTCATTTATAAGTTATTTAATAAATGGTCATTTGCAAGAACTTTGCAAAGCCCTTTTATTTTCATACCTCATTGATACAGAGAAAATTGCTTATCAAGGAGTCTTTAACATCAGTTCAACAAAGGCTAGTTTTTGTTGTTTCCTTCATCTGGTTTTTTAGACTGCACTTGAAATGTCAGTAAGCCATTCATTATCTTTATTTTACAAATTTAAGAAAGTAAAAGGTTCAGAGAACCTAAATAGTCTGATTTGCCCAGGGCCAAGTAACTCCTAATTAGAGGTTGCTGGGCTCAAGCCTGTTTATTCACTGGTCTGTTCATTCATTCATTCAGTGGGTACTATTTATAAATTCAATGTCGCCGCTATTGTTGGCACTGGAAGCTTACATTCTAGTAATTCTAACACTCCTCATTTTGCCATGTTCCCCTAAATGAATCATGATTTCTCAATAAGGATCTTCTAATCTAAGGTGGCTGAATGAATTAATAACATTCTTTTTTAAATATTGTTCAGTTGTGCATTCACCAGAAAAACAAACGCGCTTCCTTCTATGTATGAAATACAGTGGTAAATACTATATCAAAGCAAGAAATATATTTCATCTGACATCTTTACTCCATGAATTTGCAACAATTTGCATTTTAACAAGGTTATTGTTCATGGAGGTTATTTGCCGTAGGAGGAACAAAGAACATGGTGGGTATGAAACAACATGAACTTTAGTATTTAAGTTAAAGTTGACTATTGGCTCTTTGATTTATTGGCAAATTATTAAAATTTTCTGAGTTTCAGTTGTTTAGTAAATTAGAAAACAATTCACGCAGTTGTAAGATAATCAGAGACATATATGACAAACCTACAGCATGACCTGGATTCGTGTTCAATGAGCGCTGGTTGTTTTCTTTTCCTTAATGGAAGCTGCCATTCTGAAGAAACAGCCTCCTGGAAGCTGGCACTGCACCCAACGAAATATTGAGGGCTGCAGCAGCTTAACACAGCAGCTGGGTCCTGGAGTCTTAGGTCAGTGCTCATCATGATTGCAACCAGAAGTGCCAAGCTTCTGGACAATTGAGCATCTCCTGCACTCTCTCCTTTCGATGGTTCTACATGATACCTGATGAGCCACAATTCTCTGCCCATCCCTTCTACTCCTTGCCATCCCTTCCACGGTGCTCTCTAGATCACCAGTGATCAACAAAGTCCCTTCTATGGTTGGTTACTTCTTGAAACATTGCCTTCCTCTTTGCTGTCCCCTAAGTTCTCTCAAGGGGCCGCTGCTTGTTTTATCACACCCTATATCCATTAGGACCAGGAAGTAGGACTGGATTCTGTCTTGAATTATACTGTTTCTTGGCTATTGTACCGTTCTCTTCTCCCAAAAATGCCTGTTCCATTGAAGTTCATAACTGCCCTCATGTTAACCTGGTAAACTCATCAGGTAGATCTGATTCAAGTAACCCTGTCTCTTGCTGACATTGCATTGCTGAATTAAAAAAAAAATAGCAAAATGGTTAATCTTCTTTAAAAAATATTTACTCTACAATCTATTGTAGAACTCATATTTCATTTCAGTCATTGGCCCATTTCTCAATTCCTCTTTATAGCAAACTTATCAGAGTGGCTGTCTACGCACATCTTCATTTACCTTCATTCATGCTTTTGAGAGAAAGAATGACAATACTGTATCTTTTTGTTTCTCTTTAATTGATCTAGTCTTATATGCCCAACTCCTATGCCCCTTTGAGTAGTAGGCAGAGAGTAAGATTGGTCCAAATTTAATTCCACAATCTGGTTTAAAAGTAAAAGTGATTGAAGAAATTATCCTATAGTCATTTTGGATTTTCCTTAGTCCTTTTGTATAGTTGCTCAAACTTCTAATCCCTCCTCTGGTCCTGTTCCTCTCTCAAATAGCAACCTGCTTATATACAGGGCTCTACAGGTCTGAACAGCCTTGGGAAAAGGTCCTCAGACGCTAATGCTGGTCCTCCAATGTGTCCTGCCTGACATCTGCTAATACATGATTGGGCCATCCTTTCTCTGTTTTGCTGACATCTGCTACTATCTACAGCTGATGAATTCATGGGGTATGGTCAGTTCTGCTATAATGCTTGTTTTGAAAAGGAAATTGATTTATCAGGGAACAATTTGAGCATAAATCCTGCTTCCTTTTGCTTATGCTTAATTTCTTAAGCAAGAAACATTAGAACAATGTTGAAAACTGTACCCAGGAAAACCATGTCCTGTAAGAATATGTAAAACACACATATGCCACACGTCAAGCAGCTCTCAGCTGCCTCAGTTTACCCTATGTTTCACTCCAGTCCTTACTTGGTGTTGTACCCTCCCATCCTTCCACTACTTCTCAATGACTAACAAGCTGCAACTCTTTCAATGTCAACTTTGTAGGCAGAGTTCAGCTCTTTTTCAAGGTAAAGTATCATATTTATTGTAGTGTAATATTTATGTGTTTTAAAACCATGTAACGTGTAACACTGTGCTTGAATTTTTATCAGATTCCAATCTGTTTTTTTCTTTAATGTGTCACAGATGAAATTTTTGAATGTTGTGCCCAAACCTCATTTGTCTGGTAAGCCCTGTGGTTTCTATTGTCCTATTTTGCATTCCATGGTAATTTTTAGGAACACATATGCCTCATGACAGCAGAGCTGTTTGTTTCAGGCTAGGTGAGGATCCAAATGACCCTCTGATTTTCCTTCCCATTGCCTCCTTTCAACTCTCACTGAGACGACAGTTTACTTAAAGTTTCTGCCTTATCTTTTATCAAAATCCTTGTCCAGGCTTTTGATCCTTTAGGGGCCCTGTACTCTTCCTTCTTTCCTTTCAGCATCGCGGATCCCATGACAGGTTTGCAGGCCTAAACTCATTTTGCCCCACACACTGGTACTGAAGAAGACCCAGGAGGCTGATTAGACTCTCTTGGTGTCACAACACTGCTAACCCTGTGTGTAGATGGTGCAGGGTCACTGTCACAGCAGCCTTCTTCAGAAGCCCTACAGGGCAGCAATGGAGTCCCTGTACCTTGGCCATTCCTCTAAACTTACTCTGAGCACATCCTCCCTCCAGGGCTTCAAAGGTTCAGGATGAAGAGATCAGGGCACATGGCTTCATGTATCTTTCCCTTAGTGCTTAGGTTTGCCCTTCCCCATTCCCTCCTTCACATAGCTCAAGCTGTTTTCTACCTCAGCATTCACCTGGACCTGCTCTTGCGTCCTCTGTCTTTATTTGATGAGATCTGTTAAGAGAATGTGAAGCCATTAACTTTCCTAATTTGCAGTGACCTGGTTTACCGCTCATCATCCTGGTAGCTCTTTCTCAGTTTGCTTCCCAGGCTCTCCTTACCTGGGCTGACTTCTACATTTGGAATTCCTTGAGATTCAGGCTGGAGATCTGTCTCTTCTGAGATCCTCCAGCACTGTAGGTTTAGATGCCCTCCCATCCATATGCTGACGTTGTCATGTCTAGCCCACATTTTTTTCTGATCTCTAGACATATATCCCACTGCCTACCCATAATCTCTACTTGGAAGTGACATTTTAAACTCAACACGTCCAAAACCAGACTAGTTTCACTGGATTTTATTCCCATTGCTCCCTCTCTAACTTAGGTAATACTCTTCCTGCCCTTGTCAGAATAGATTTTTTAATATCATTTAGTCTTAATGTCAATTCTCATTAAAGGTCTTGCTTGGATGTGTTTATTGGACAGAGACTGTCATTTAAAGCTTTCCAGATTTGAAGAATGTGTGGAAGGCCAGAAAGAATGACAAATAATAGTGACCATTGGTGGATATGTGCAGAAGAGTTTATTGTCATATATTGCTGATAGAAATGGGATTTTTATAGCTCTTTATGGAAAAAATGTGGAATAACGTACCTATCAATTCCACTCCTGGGAATCTCTAACATAGAAATAAAAACTCCAATATATAATAAATACATTTGAAAGAGCATTGTTTATAGTTGCAGGAAAAAATCCTGCCAATAAAGTGAAAATCCACCTATCAGGAAGAAATGAATAAAATGCAATATAACCATATCTAAAATGTTCATGCACCCACGTAAAAACTAATGAAATTTATACAGCTAATTTGGAGGGATTTCAACAATGAATACAGGAAGCTGGACAAAGGTATATGTAATATCATTATGTGTACTGCTGTGTACGTTTGGGAATGTTTCTATTTGATAGAACTGGAAATATTGTTTTACCCCCTCATCTTTTTGGTTCGGTACTTAAACACGCAGATGAGCATGAATTATTCACATACTTTTGCACAAAAGTTATTTTATTTATGAAGAGCCTCTCTGCCTGTCTTCTTCTTCTCTCTCTCTAAATCCTTTCTGCTTTTCTCTGTCTCTACTGTTTCCACTCCATCCCATCATTTTTGTCAGGGCTATTGCAATAGCCTGGTGTCTTTTCCAATCTATTTTCCATCCAATAGCTAGAGTGGATATAAAAATACAAATTACACCCTCTCACTTTCCCGATTAGCCTTCCTGCACTTCGAGTAAAACCTAAGCACCTTTTCTTGGCCCAGGAGGTCCTGGCTGGCCTGGCCCCTGCCTAACTCATCTCGTGCCACTCTCTCCTTTTGATCACAGTTCTTGCCATACTGACTAATGGGATGTTTGAAGATGCTGAGCTCTTTTCTGTCTCTGTTGGAACATTCCTTTTTGTACCCTTTGCTAGTTCATGTCAATACAGTACTCTGCATTAACATGGTGTTCTCAAAGGGCCTTTCATGAGTGACTTAGCTGGACTAGCTTCCCTTTCCAGTGTTTCCTGACACTTTGTTTCTTCACAGGATATGTCAACTGTTTGTAAGTCGTATTTACTTGTTTGTTTATGCATTGCCTATTCTGCCACTATCCTACAAACCCTGGAGTTGGGGAACTGTATCTTTCTTCCTCATTGCCAGTACCTAACACAATTCTTGGCACATAGTAGGTAAACTTCAAATAAGTATTGATTGGAAAAAATGAAGAGATTGTTGAGTGAAGAAAGATTTTTTTTGTACTCAGAGCAGATAAGTATTTTAAATGAATTGATGAAAGATCGAGCCCCGAAACTGTGTATGTATATACACACAGACACACACAAATATTATGTTTTATATCAATATTTTATGTATATACACACACACACACACAAATATTATGGTTTATATTGATATGAAGGCAATTTTAATAGATTTTGGTTTAAAATACGTTACATACAGGTGCATTTTTTTTTACAAAATGTGGATTTCTTACTGTTTAAAAGGTGAATGATACGTGTCATGGTTTGCAGTTTGGAAGATAGCAGGTTAGAGAAATTTCTGATTAAACTTTAATACATGTCATTGCAGTTCTCACAGGTCAGAAAGAAGATGCATTTCTTAACATTCTTGACTGTTTCTTTCTGTCCATAGTGTTGCATTTCCTTAAAGAAAAGATCAAGAGTTGAGATTAAACTTGACTTAAAATGCCAGATATTTGCCAGAACCTCTAGGAAATTGATGAAATACTTCTGTCTGAAGGCTGAAACCAAACATGATCTCATCCATATCAGCAGAATTACTAATAAAACACCAAGGTGCTTCCTGACCTCCAGGAGAGGTGAATGGTGCTTGATCAGCTTAGTCAGTAAATGCTTAGCTGAAATAGGACTTGGGCTAAGAATATATGTGGAAGAAATATAAAATATGATACCTCATGGATGTGCTTATTCTACGAATGACATTAACATTTGAAATATGTGTTTATGTGAATAAGTTCTTCTCAACCTAGCACAAAAAATAATTTATTTTCTAATATTATTCTGATTAATATATTAGTATATAGTATATTTAATAAAACATACAAAAATACTAAAATATTTATATTTTATTATTATGTAATAGTACCATCACAACCCCAAATTACAATGAAGACACTAAGCAAAGCATTCCTTTAGCCAAATAATTTAATTTGTGGTAGAATATATAAGTTGAAAGAACCAGGGTTTAGGAATGAAACAATGTGTCTTTGTGAGATTGCCCTCCAGCTATATAAGCCTAGGGAAGTTATGTAATACATGTGAATTTTGTTCATCTATAAAACGGATAAAAATAATACCTGTTCATTGTTGTATTGTTTGGCAACTAAATTCAAAAATATATTTAAAATACCCTGTACAACCATCTGTGTATAAGAAGAACATCGCAAGATATTATAGGTACATGGTGAATTCCTTTAGAATTTATCTACTTAAACATAGTCTAGTATAATTGGAGGGCAATTAAGGGTGTGAACTTAACCACACATTTTGTTTGTTTTGTTTTTGTTTTGCATGCCAAAAAAATCTGGTTTATTTAAACAAAAGGGATTTAATCAGAAGAATAAGAAGTAGCTTTGTGAATGGGTAAGAATGCTGGAGAAACAGGCTTGGAAATAAGTCAGGCATGATCGGAGCCAATTTGGCTCAAGGTGTCTGGGTCTGGCCTCACTCAAGAACCACTCAAGAGACGTATTTGGATTCCATCATGAAGATTAATGCATGTGATGACTATTGTTTTTCCCCCATCCCATGCAACTTTGCTCCAATTTGGAGACTTGAGAAAAAATCTTATTGGCTTAGCTTGAGTTACCTGGCCATCTTTTTGTTTAATGGGAGTCAGGCACCTTAACTTTTATCCCTATCAACTTTACTTGCAAGGGGAAAAGGCAATTTCTCAAACTGAAGCTCAAGTTATTACAAAGGGCAAAATTAAAATGAATGAATTAATTAAAATGACAAATTAACTGTTAATTAAAATTAAAATGTCACTACAGATTTCGAAGTAACCCACACTTGCTTCAGAATAGAATAGGAAAGTATTGAATAAAGTGATTTAGGGGATAAGATAAAACGTCAGTGTCAAAACAGAATTGGGAGGTGGTATTAACATAGCAAATATGAGGCAAGTGAGTAATTCAACTCTGACCAGCTGTGCCCTAGAATTCCTCAGAGGAACCTCAGGGGTGTTCCTCTGAGATGGAGTCTTGCTCTGTCACCCCAGGGCTGTCAGCTCAAGCCACAAGGCTCCAATTCCATTTCGACTGGTTCAGGCTGCTTTATTCTTTCTTTTTAATTTTTAAAAATGTGATGGCATTCCACGTAAGGTTTTACTTCAAAACAAAAAAGAAAAAATAAAAAAGACTTCTGCTGCTAAAACAAATAGATAGGATAAACAACAACCTAACAATCATTCCAAAACTACCGAGCAAAGGAATAACATCCTGGCCATGGGGTCTTCATGGTCCACATCATCTCTGACATTGTGGAGGAAGCAAGGTAAAAGTTAGCCTTCAGCTCCACAATGAAATAGGTAAATAGGTGACTGTAGTCAGCTTAATGCCATAAATCCTGCATTGAAATTGGTATTATATTTTTCAGTTTTGCAAATACCTTAAATTGGCTCACTTGATCTTTACTACAGTTCTATGTGGAAGGCACGTACAAGTGACAAATGGAGGTGCAGAAAGATGAGGTCGCAGAGACAATATTAGAACCCAGCTGTCATGATTCTAAATATAGAATTTGTTACCCTATAACAGTATGTTCACTGTTTTTAGTCTGGGGAATCCTTTCTGCAGATAGAAATTTAATGGGATCACATATTTACTCAGAAAGAGTGGAGCTGTGATGGTTGGTTGAGGGTGAAGGGCCTGGGGCTCCACTCAGCCCTCCCTCCTACTCCTTCCCCTGGAACACATGTATGACACAGAGGAATCTCTGAGAAAAGCTGTGCAGGGCTCTGGGTGTGCAGTATAAAAACTATTGCCAATATTGCACCATCCTTCAGGGATCCAGTTGAGTCTCTCTCCCTCCATTCACTACACATCATTTTTGTTTCTTCTGTGCAGCTTGGATCCCAGAGGTCATTTCTAGTTAAGGAAGTAGTGCAGGTGTCTCTGTTAAGAAAATAGGCTGGGGATGAGAAGGCAAGATGCTTCTTTAGTTTTGTTTTCTTAAAGTTGACATTGATTTATGCTGGTACCTAACACAGGCATGGGACGTGTGTGCCACCATTTCAGTGGTAAGACAATACACCAGGAGGTCTTTTGTAGACCTGTGTTAACCTGAGAAAGTCCCCTGAGGATCTAAAGTATTCTTCCAGCCATAATCCCAACAACATTTGAAAGAATATCCATGGTCCTGACTAAAGTTGTTCTCACTTTTGTACTAATCCTTCTGTGGTGGTTCTTTTTGTTGGAATAGGCCCTGACTGAATTATATAGATGTTTTCACGTTTCTATTGTCTGCACAAGGCATGCTATAATACTTCTTCCTTTCTGACTCATGATATAGAATTCAGGTCCACCATGCGTATACCCCATATACGTATATGGATAATGTACACATCCATGCTCATATACAAATTCATATCCATATATATACAGTAAGTCCTCAGTGTCATCAATAGGTTGTTGGAGACTGAGACTTCAAGGGAAAGAATAAAACCCATTTTACCATTGGCTAATTGATATAAACAAGGTTTAATTTCCTATGGCATATTTTTGGTCATAAAAACATCAAACTTATAAACAATGACTGAAACACTTCCATTAAATATTGAAATAAATGGGAGTGACACATACATTTAAGAAAGATTAATACCAACAAGGAAGATAATTATTTACTTGTTTCTATTTTTTTTTATTTTATTTTTTTTGAGACAGTCTTGCTGTGTCACCCAGGCTGGAGTGCAGTGGCGCGATCTCAATTCACTGCAACCTGCATCTCCCGGATTCAAGTGATTTTCCTGCCTCACCCTCCCAAGTAGCTGGGACTACAGGCATGAGCCACCATTCCCTGCTAACTTTTATATTTTTGGTAGAGATGGAGTTTCGCCATATTGGCCAGGGTGGTCTCGAACTCCTGACCACAAGTGATCCACTTGCCTTGGCCTCTCAAAATGTTGGGATTACAGGCGTGAGCTACGGGGCCCAGTCTGAATGCTTATTCTAGTTCAGGGTTACCTTGGGTGGCTGGAGCCGTACCTATTAGGGCAGGAACCAATCTTGGATAGGATGTCATCCATCCCATTGTAGGGTGCACTCACATATGCGCCCATACTCACTCAGACTAGAATTGTTTAGACACCCAGTTCAGCTGCTGGGCATGTCTTTGGGATGTGGGAGGAAACCGACATAGCCATAGGGAGAACATGCAAACTATATACAAACAGGAGCCCTGTCTGGGAAAATTGATTTCATTTCTTATCAATATTATTATGAAGCAACATTGAGTAAAGCCATGTTGAATGAAATAAGTTATTCAAGGACTTGCTATATACATATTCATATACACACACTACTCAACGCAATTCCAGTTGCCCAGGCCTTAAAAGGCCTTCTGTTTTTCAAAACGAATGTCATCTCTAGTGGCTGACTCAGAGCCTGAGATTCAACACTGCTAGATTTCCGGTACTATTCTTGGAAAGAAGGAATTGAAGAGTGGGAGAGAATCATGGGACTCAATGAGTTGTTGGCTATAAAGAGTGGGGAGGCAAGTAACTTGGAGTTATGGAATAGTCGGGCGTGCTGGAGAGTCCCGCCTGTAGGGAGAACTAGCTGAAGTTTCACAGTTAGGGGCTGGCAGGAGCCTAAAGGTAGGCACACCTGCAGGGAACAGAGACAAGTGGAAGGAGAAAAATGGAAAAAAACTAAAATAAAATCTTCATTTTGAAGTTCCGACTAGAAATTACTTTGCCTCTCATATATAGTATCAGTAATGTCATTGCAAGTTAAGGTGATCAGATATGCAGATATTTTATGTGTCTGTGATAATTTTTTTTTTTATTTCCTCAATGGTTTTTTTTTAAGTTTTTTTTTCTTTTATTATTATACTTTAAGTTTTAGGGTACATGTGCACATTGTGCAGGTTAGTTACATATGTATACATGTGCCATGCTGGTGCGCTGCACCCACTAACTCGTCGTCTAGCATTAGGTATATCTCCCAATGCTATCCCTCCCCCCTCCCCCAACCCCACAACAGTCCCCAGAGTGTGATGTTCCCCTTCCTGTGTCCATGTGATCTCATTGTTCAATTCCCACCGATGAGTGAGAATATGTGGTGTTTGGTTTTTTGTTCTTGCGATAGTTTACTGAGAATGATGGTTTCCAGCTTCATCCATGTCCCTACAAGGACATGAACTCATCATTTTTTATGGCTGCATAGTATTCCATGGTGTATATGTGCCACATTTTCTTAATCCAGTCTATCGTTGTTGGACATTTGGGTTGGTTCCAAGTCTTTGCTATTGTGAATAGTGCCGCAATAAACATACGTGTGCATGTGTCTTTATAGCAGCATGATTTATAGTCCTTTGGGTATATACCCAGTAATGGGATGGCTGGGTCAAATGGTATTTCTAGTTCTAGATCCCTGAGGAATCGCCACACTGACTTCCACAATGGTTGAACTAGTTTACAATCCCACCAACAGTGTAAAAGTGTTCCTATTTCTCCACATCCTCTCCAGCACCTGTTGTTTCCTGACTTTTTACTGATTGCCATTCTAACTGGTGTGAGATGGTATCTCATTGTGGTTTTGATTTGCATTTCTCTGATGGCCAGTGATGATGAGCATTTTTTCATGTGCCTTTTGGCCGCATAAATGTCTTCTTTTGAGAAGTGTCTGGTCATGTCCTTCGCCCACTTTTTGATGGGGTTGTTTGTTTTTTTCTTGTAAATTTGTTTGAGTTCATTGTAGATTCTGGATATTAGCCCTTTGTCAGATGAGTAGGTTGCGAAAAGTTTCTCCCATTTTGTAGGTTGCTTGTTCACTCTGATGGTAGTTTCTTTTGCTGTGCAGAAGCTCTTTTGTTTAATTAGATCCCATTTGCCAATTTTGTCTTTTGTTGCCATTGCTTTTGGTGTTTTAGACATGAAGTCCTTGCCCATGCCTATGTCCTGAATGGTAATGCCTAGGTTTTCTTCTAGGGTTTTTATGGTTTTAGGTCTAATGTTTAAGTCTTTAATCCATCTTGAATTGATTTTTGTTTAAGGTGTAAGGAAGGGATCCAGTTTCAGCTTTCTACATATGGCTAGCCAGTTTTCCCAGCACCATTTATTAAATAGGGAATCCTTTCCCCATTGCTTGTTTTTCTCAGGTTCGTCAAAGATCAGATAGTTGTAGATATGCGGCGTTATTTCTGAGGGCTCTGTTCTGTTCCATTGATCCATATCTCTGTTTTGGTACCAGTACCATGCTGTTTTGGTTACTGTAGCCTTGTAGTATAGTTTGAAGTCAGGTAGCATGATGCCTCCAGCTTTGTTCTTTTGGCTTAGGATTGACTTGGCGATGCAGGCTCTTTTTTGGTTCCATATGAACTTTAAAGTAGTTTTTTCCAATTCTGTGAAGAAAGGCATTGGTAGCTTGATGGGGATGGCATTGAATCTGTAAATTACCTTGGGCAGTATGGCCATTTTCACGATATTGATTCTTCCTACTTTTTTTTTTTTTTTTTTTTGAGACGGAGTCTCACTCTGTTACCCAGGCGGGAGTGCAGTGGTGAGATCTTGGCTCACTACAAGCTCCGACTCCTGGGTTCAAAGGATTCTCCTGCCTTAGCCTCCCAAGTAGCTGGCACTATAGGGACACGTCACCACACCCAGCTAATTATTTTTTTTTATTTTTAGAAGAGACGGGGTTTCACCACGTTGGCCAGGCTGGTCTCAAACTCTTGACCTCAGGTGATCCACTCGGCCTCCCAAAGTGCTGGGATTACAGGAGTGAGCCACTGTGCCTGATCGTGATAAATTTTGTTAGGTGTTACTTATTCTCGTCATGTAGGTTAATCTCGCTAACCATGTGTTAAAGACAAACAAATGGGGTCCTAGGAAAAATGATGAATTTGAGATGAGAAGAGCAAAGACACAAATGAAGGTTATTTTAAATTCTAGGAAGAATGATGACTATCTTGAGAATAGAAACAAAAGTAGCCTCTAGGTAGGCTATGAGTCAAGGCCTCTTTGATGAGGCACAGTCCTGCTGGTAGACAATTTTAACAAGTGTATCAGCTCCTGGGGAAATTCTTCATGTGATACAAGCTCTGTTAACCATCTAGTAAGTGCTACATTTTACTTTGAGTTCGACTGTCTTTTATACATATGTGTGTGTATATATACACATACACACACATACACACCCCATGCGTATATATATATACCCCCGTGTGTATATATATATATATGCATGTATATACACCCCATGTGTATGTATATATGCATATATACACACATATGTATATATACGCATATATATATACACACACATACACATATATATATATATATATATTTTTTTTTTGAGATGGAGTCTTGCTCCGTCACCCAGGCTAGAGTGCAGTGGCGTGATCTTAGCTCACTGCAACCTCTGCCTCCTGGGATTAAGCGATTCACCTGCCTCGCCCTCCTGAGTAGCTGGGATTACCGGCACATGCCATGCCTGGCTAATTTTTGACTTCTGTATTTTTAATACTAGTCCTACTGTATCATTTATCCCTCTATACATAGGGCCCAGAAGAGCATTGGCACATGACAGGTGCTCAGTTAACACTTGTTAGTTACATTCTGAGTAATTTATGATTTGCAATGTTTGAAAGTTACTGATCATTTCTTTCCCAGGAAGGAGATTCATACACTTGATTCTAAACTATATAAAGTATGTGTAGGAAGAAAGCCATTTTGTAAAAAGTGTTGGTCCTGACCCAGGTTTTCTGATTACAACTCCGTACTCACACTTTCCGTAACAGGGAACATCAGAAGCAACAATAGAGAAAATAAATGACTCTTACTTTGCTGTACCTCACTTTTCTCCATTCACCTCAACTCAAATGGAATCCTCTGGAATTCTCTATTTGGAATATATATCATGATACCATTGTATCAAATATATGATGTCTTGTACTATTCAAATTAGTACTAGTTGAATAGTTGAACTACAGCTCCTGAAAATGATTGAATGGATTTCCTCATAGTAAAGTGTTTCTTCTTAGGTTTGCCCAAATCAAAAACCTTTGTGTCTATACCCAAACGGTTCCAGTGTTCTGTCATGCTCTACTTTCCTCTCCCTCTCCATTGCCATGGCCACCATCCACCTATGTGGATCACTACAGCAGTCTCCCTGCCTCCACTTTATCCCCTCCCATTCACACCCTTGTCTGCTTCTGTTGCAAACTTTCTAACCTTGAATTTGACTTTATTTCCCTGCTTTAAATTCTTCAATGCCTTTCCATCATCTGCAGAAGAAAATCCAAGTCCTGGCCCTTGTCTCTGCTGTTACCTCATTTCTTAGCCTTCACGTTTTACCTTGTTGGGACTACTCATCTACTCATTTCCATACTCTTCCCTTGGCCTGCATTTTCCCATTGTTCTGTCTGACAAACTCCCATACCATTTTCAAATTTCAGCTTATGTGCTCAACCAAATTAACTTTAACTTTTTTTTTGAGATGGAGTCTTTCTCTGTCGCCCAGGCTGGATTGCAGTGGCATGATCTCAGCTCACCACAACCTCTGCCTCCCAGGTTCAAGCGATTCTGCTGCCTCAGCCTCTCCAGTAACTGGGATTACAGGCACATGCCACCACGCATGGCTAATTTGTTTGTATGTTTAGTAGAGACGAGGTTTCACCATGTTAGTCAAGCTGGTCTTGAACTCCTGACCTTGTGATCCACTTGCCTCAGCCTCCCAAAGTCCTGGGATTACAGGCGTGAGCCACCGCACCCAGCCCAAATAAACTTTTGTAATGTAAGTCCCTACTGTCTGTAGCTAGACTTAAATTCCCTTCTACTTTACTGTGGTTCTGATGAAATTGGATGTAGCACCACTATAAAAATATCGCGTGATGTTGAAATGATTTGTATCCTTATCTGTGACCTCTTCTGAATGATGAGCTGTTTGGGAGTCTATGTATTCTATATTTTCATATTGTTAGCCTTTAGCAGAATCCTTGAAACAGAGCAGGGGCTGAATGAATGTTTGTTAAATGAACGAATGAGTGACTGTCTTCTGCCTCTTCTTACAATAACAATCCACAATTGAAAACCATCTTACAGTTATGGGCTGTAATTCATCTTAAGTTTGGGAAGTTATTGAGAATAAATATGTCTCTTTCTGAAAATGAAAATTTACTGTAATTAATAATAGTAAGGAGAAATGATGTGTCCTCTTCCCATTCCTTCCTTTCTCTAATCAAAGCAGCCTCCTTTGGTTCAGGAAAAGACATTATCCCTTCAAGGCGATTGTGCCTCTGACACTGCTTCTTGGCTATCCAAGAAGCTATTAGGAGCAGGAAGAAATCAAACAAAACTCTATCACTGTACCAGGATATTTAAAGAGGAAGGAATAAAGAAAGCAGCAGGCCAAGCATGAGACTGCTAATCATTAGACCCTGGTTTGGGCTGTTAAACCAACAGAGTAAGATTCCCCAGTGGTTTGTCCTCATAGCAATTTTCTTCCAGCTCTGGAGTAAATGCAGATTTGTGAAGTGAGAAAGGCTTGAAAAAGACAGCCTGATAGTGACACCAGATTTTGTGGTTTCTCTTAGACTCTATTTTACTCATATTTCTTAATTTTCTCATTTTCTGTTTTAGATGTGTTAAATTGGATGGCAGAAATAAGTCATTGGAACAAAATGCTTGAGAAAGAACCTGCTCTCATCCCTATTTTCTTAAAAATACACTCACATGTTCTCCCATATACCAAAACAATTATTCTAGATTGGAGATATTTAAGGATTCACACTTACGTAAACGTACTATAATTTTATGATCTTCCCTTTGGGACGATTTAGGGGTGGGCAGTCTGATGTATCACTTAACATATTATGTTACCTTTTACTGAGTCACAAATTTGCTCATGGTGGCTTGCGTTGGAGCAAGACGGATATATACTCTTTCAGCTGACCAAATTGCCTGGAATATGTAGAGCAGAAACCTACCAGTTATCTTATAATTAAAGTTGAGACTTGGCTGCTGGCTCACTGCCTTCTGGGTGAGCTAATCCGTGCCTGAATGCTGTACACCCTGCTATAAATGATAGTCCTCAAGGCTGCCTATATATTAGCTCAGCCTGGTCTCCATTTCCAAGTTATTACTTCTTGGTGTCTTCTGGGTTAAATTAAGCCTGTTTGTCTACTGCTCCTGAGGTAGGTTAACTTTATGGGTCATGCATTTCCCTTCCAGGCACCCAGCCAGAGGTGTCATGTATAAAGGATGAAAGACTATAAATGAAGACGGGTGTGCGGGTGGGAAGGAGTGAATCTCAGAGTTTCTGGCAGATGCAAGTCCAGGATTTTTAAGGACGTGAGTAATTCTGTGTCTTTTAAAGGGCAACCTATAAACAGAAGTTTCTGGCGAATACATATAAGTAGAATTCAAGGATAAAACTCATGAAGAGCAAGCCATGATTTGTTGCCTTCATAGAATAAGGTCAGCATGATTTCATTGTAGCCCTGAGTGAATGCATTTCTTAAGAATCATCAACTATGTCTTAGGATTTGAAAGAATATGGTTCCCAGAGGTCATGCATAGAGTTTTAGGGAGTTAATGCAGTAGGACAATGCAGCCAAATTATGATGAGTTTTTCTTAATTATCACAGTTGCTCTTTAATGTTAGTATTATTGCTTTAATTTCATGCATGAGAAATTAAACGTCAGATAGACAAAGTGACTTGCCTACAGCAAATAAGTGGCAGGCCCAGAATTCAAATTCTATTCTGTGCATTCCCAAAGCCAAATTCTTTATGCCACATTGTTAATCTTTGCTTGGCTAAAAGAAACTTGCCCCTCAAGTCACTTACTCTGGTTTCAATGGTGATCTCCATGTCTGGGTGAAATATGTCATTGGCTACATAGTCTCCAAATTATTAATTCCATCAGTGTCCCCACTATTGGCTCTACCACTCTGTTCTCCTCTGATGACAGGCTCCAAATCATTCTTTGGGTGAAGTTAAAGAAGTTGGCAGTCGTGTACATGAA